>NC_000003.12:169614664-169766180 GCF_000001405.40 Homo sapiens
AAATCTACCAGGTAATAAGCAGTGAGCTCTGCACAATTCTTTAAAAAAAAAAAAAGACGGTCTCTCACTATTTCGCCCAGGCTGGTCTCAAACTCCTGGCCTCCTCCTGCCTCAGCTTCCTGGGCAGCTAGGATAAAAGGCATGAGCCCACACACCCAGTTAAGCTCTGCACACCTCTTTTTGGGTTATACTGCTAGTGCACCCGCTTCGGGAAGACAGCACAGCACAGCACATAGAAAGACTCAAGCTGGGCTGCTAAGTTCAAGTCCTTCTCCTCCACCAAGTTCAGCAAGTTATCCAATCTGTCTTTGCCTCCATTTTCTTATCTGTAAAATGGGGGGTTAATAATCATATATTAGATGAGTTCACATCTCTAAAGCGTCTAGAAAGTTTCTAGCCCATAGTAAGCACTATACAAGTGCAAATACTAATACATGTTTATAAAACACATAGGCTCACAAATACATGACCCTATACTTAAAGGAAAAGCAGGCTAGAGAGATGTTGGAAATAGTTGTTAAATTGGCTTAACTTTCTCAGGACACCTTGTACCCACCACGTTCATGTCTCCTCTAGCCAACTATAAAGTTATTAACACAAGAACCCTGTCTTATTCATCACAGTATCACCCACAGGGGCTGAGACAGTGCTTACACAGAAATGGCCCTTGATAAAATATGGGCTGAATGAATGAACATATGAATTTGATACTTTGAGAACTAAATTAAAAGTTATTTCTACTAGCATTTTTAACACAAGAACTATTGAGATTACTTATATATTAGTAGTAAAATGTTTGCTTTATTCATTTGATTGCAAAACTTATAATGAACTCAGTGAAACTTGTCCACCTTTTTCTACATGTTGAAATTTTCAAAAATCCATAAGATTACTCCTCACACACACACCTCCAAGTATCCATAGAGATGGACCTACTTCATACCATTATATTCATAATCCAATTATTTCTAGAAATCCCATTGATTTCAGGGAACTGAATTTGATAGCCAGGAGGCATTCCACTGGCTTCTTAAAGGACATTATTGGTTTTCATTTTGTTTTGTTTTGATTTCAATTGCAACTCAAACAATGAATCTTCCAAAGATGGTTACCCTCACTCTACAAAAGTGCTAAGTTAATATTCTTTAAAATAAATACAAGCATTTCTTGGACTAGATACCATCAACTTTAATTTTATTTTTCTCACATAAATGTTAACCAAAAACTAAATGATAATTTCCTTCTGTCACACAGCAATTCCACTGTGGTGGAACAAAGTGTTATCTCAAGTTTCACAGAGCAATTGTTCAATCATTCCTGTTGGTGGCTCCTTTCCAAATCTTCGAGAATGGCCCAGCCAGCCAGCCCTTGAAACTGGGAGTGGGAGGCAGAGGGGGAGTCGCTGTCAGTAAGAGCTCAGCTCTGTGGCATACTGGCTGGTTCTCCCCCAGGAGCATCTCCTACCCATGAGGACAATGCCCAAAGCATGCTGCCTGCTTGGGGACAATTGCTGGGAAACCTCTAAACATTGAACTTGTGCAAAGGAGGCATGGAGGCATCAAGGAAAGCTTCATCTCACCCTATTTTGGTGAATTAAATTCTCACGAAGTTTGGGGAAGAAAAGAGGGGGCTCAGAAAAAGAAATGTATTCCTTAGAGTTTTTTTGGTTTTGGTTTTGGTTTTTTTGTTTTTTTGGTTGGAGATAGAGTCTTGCTCTGTTGCCCAGGCTGGAGTACAGTGGCACGATCTTGGTTCACTGCAACCTCCGCCTCCTGGGTTCAAGCGACTGTCCTGCCTCAGCCTCCCAAGTAGCTGGGATTACTGGCACCTGCCACCACACCTGGCTAATTTTTGTATTTTTTTAGTAGAGATGCCATGTTGGCGAGGCTAGTTTCAAACTCCTGACCTCAGGTGATGCACCAGCCTCAGCCTCTCAAAGTGCTGTGATTATAGGCACGAGTCACTGCACACGGCCAATTTATTCCTTATAGTTGAAAAGCAGTAACAAAGATTTCGGCTTCACTGAAAGAAAACATTGTTCAAACTACATCACCTACCTCCTGCTAAAAATCATCTACAAAGCCACCCTTTAGAGTTGGGTCAATTAATCTTTCTAGATAGACTGCTCAAAGAGGAAGGGAAATTCTGATACATGTTTTCCTACCAACTTCCACATACAGATGAAGTAGGTTTGTTGAACCTTAGATGCATAGAGCTCTGAGCCCATTTATGATACCAAATCTGTTTGTAACATAAATCAACCAAATGTTGGAATTAAAATGAGTATAGAATAGCTTAAAGTTAATAATCAATTCTATTCTCCAATTCCTTGTAAGTCTTGAAAGTTTGTGACACAACAGAAACTAGGGTTATATCTCTATTTTCATTGTATTTTCTTCGCCCTCCCACAAAACTAGGAGCAATTAGTCAAACCCAGTATATTTTTTTAAGATATGGGAGTGGCTTTGTAGAAGAATGGCTTTCCCCCTCACAAAAAAGTCTAGACTTCTTCAATTAAAAGATAAAGAAAATTAAAAGACCCCTAACAGAGGTAGGACCATAGGTAATTATTATTTTTTATGTATTTCTATATTTTTATAACCTTACAATAAAAGTAAATCATTTGCATAATGAATATTTGTGTGTTTGTGAATGTTCATGTGCACCCAGAAGGAGTCTTGACCTGACTTCAATGTTTACATAAATCACCTGCGAATGTTGTTAAAACTCAGATTCTAGTTCAGTAGATCTGAGATGGGCCTGAGAGTCTGCATTTTTAACAGGCTCCCAAGTTACTGGTCCATAGACTATACTTTGAGTGGCAAAGTATACTGTATAGTGCTTGTCTGATTAAAAGTTCCACTAGGTGTCTTCTTTCCTGCCAGTCCAAATGAAGTTAAGAAACTTGACCCCAACACTTTAGAGCAACAACCAAAGCAGAGTTAGAGAAAAGCTGACATCACTTATAAAACTTGGTCTGCGGTGCCTTTGGTTTTTCTCTTCTTTGAGCAACTTTGGTCTATAAAGACTTGTCCCCTACCTCATATTGGCCAGAATCTAGCAGCTAATGGGAGGGGCGGGATTATAAAGGGAGAAAATTTCATACTGATAATTGTTTTAGCCAAAGAATGGGTAGCCCACCTGCCATCAGAGTCTATACCAACCATTTAGAACCATGAAGAGAGTTTCAGGCCCTGAACTCCTGAGCCTTGACCAGCCCTGGGACACTTCTTAGAACAACTGTCTCCCCTCTCCTGTCTCAGGTGAGTGGATCTTTATTCTTCATAACCTTGGCTCCTCAACCCTCAGCTCCTTTGCACTGAGCTCTTTCCAAGCTTTCTCCTCCTTCATAGCTCCCAGGCAGACCCTAGACTTTTCTTCCTCTCCTCCTTAAGCTTCTTTGTCTTCCCTTTCAGTGCCATCAAAATGAGATCACAACTTCAGATCTATCATTGCATCTAGTCCCAATATGGGGCCATGGCATATAGTTAATCCCATTTTAGAAACAAAGACATTTCCACATAGAAATAATAAGTGACTTGTCTAAGAAGGCCCAACAAATAGGTGTCAAGGTGAGTTTGAACCACACACACTTCCTTTCGTTTACTCCCACTAGCCCTTCATATCTCAACCAGATTATATTTCATAATGGCCCAGTAGCTTTTTACATAATTTGTCACTTCAGTTCACTTTATCAAAAATAGAAAAAATAGGCTGGGCGGTGGCTCACACCTGTAATCCCAGCACTTTGGGAGGCTATGGTGGGGTGGATCACGAGGTCAAGAGATCAAGACCATCCTGGCCAACATGGTGAAACCCCGTCTCTACTAAAAACACAAAAAATTAGCTGGTCATGGTGGCGCGCGCCCGTAGTCCCAGCTACTCAGGAGCCTGAGGCAGAAGAATTGCTTGAACCCAGGAGACGGAGGTTGCAGTGAGCCGAGATCACACCACTGCACTCCAGCCTGGTGACAGAGTGAGACTCCATCTCAAAAATAAATAGAAAAAATAAAATACAGCTGATAACACTGGGTCATTAAACAACAACCGATAAATTTCACCATGGCTTACACCCACCTAAAAAAATCAGAATAATTCTGGTTTAGTAATATTAATTTGCCTTTTGCTTCCCCACTGTATGTGAGATATAGAGCATAAATCAATTAAATATTTGCTCAGTATTAGTAATAAAAAATACGTGAGCATTTCTCAAAGAAGATAGTAAAATCTAACACAAACTATAAAGTAGGCATTATACCTAAAAGCCACCGTCCTCTAAGAAAAAAGACAGTTGTTTCTTCTGCTTAGTAGCAGCATTTTGTTGAAGCTGGTAATCTGTCATCTAAACATTTAAAAAAAAAAAAAAGTCCACTCTTTTCTACTAAAGAGAAACAGCTATAAAAACCAAACCAGATTGAAGCTAACAGCAACTGGCCTGCAAAATATGGTGGCATTTTCACAGTTAATTTTGCTGCCATTTGTACCTGAATTTATCGTGGTTCTGAAAAAGTAAATTGAGAGGCTAACACAGCCCTCACTCCGGGTGCACCGGCCGCAGCGCATCCCCAGTCGGGCTGGATATTTAGTGCCGCTGTGCTGAGAAGGCCGAGGAGAGAGCCAGGGGAGGGATTACTGCTCGGTGCTGCCCATAAATCAACCGCAACACGTCACACAGCTCCACATCCCACAAATAAGGCTGGGCTGGAGAGGTGTCACCACTACACAAAAGGAAGGAGAGCCCTGGATGCCTTTGCCCACCTGGCCCTTCCCCTCCTGGGTGCTCATGAAGCAGGGAGGCACCTCAAGATTTTGCTGTCACTTTTCTCCCCTCACTGTCTCTTTCCTCCCTTCACCTGGGGAGAAGATTGGGCCCCAGGTATCCAGTGATTTTAACAAAGGCAGGCCACCACCGAGCCTTAATTCCAAAGTCCCTTCTCACTTGCTAGTTAACCACACAGCCCTTACCTTGTTGACTGGGCTTCCTCCTGAACTGAAGACGG
Organism: Homo sapiens; assembly: GCF_000001405.40. NCBI lineage: Eukaryota > Metazoa > Chordata > Mammalia > Primates > Hominidae > Homo > Homo sapiens. The sequence continues at coordinate 169,619,665 of NC_000003.12, forward strand.
TAAATCAAGTGTCTCCTCCACCCCCAGGGTTCAGTGACTACCAAAGAAATATCTGAACAGCCCTACTCTCCCCTTCTGCCCAAGAATTTTCCTCAGAATATGAAAATCAGGGTTTTTAAAATATTATTTATAAAAACAAACTTGCCTTCCTTTTTAAAACTCACACCACCCTGTAGGAGGTGCTAGTCATAAACGTGCAGAGGCTGAGAACTGTTGGCCCCAAGGGCCAAAATGAAAAACAGCACCCTGGTGTCCCCCTGCGGAACCAGCCCTTCATGTTCTAAGACAGTCATCAACATGATTCCTGAAAACAATAGCGGCTTCTTGTTTAAAATGGAACTGCACCTGCTAGAATATCGTGTCAACAAACAATTGCTTTGTTTTTCATAATAGCCATCCGAGCCGAAGCAATGGGACTTCCTGAAGTGCATACTGGAAGGCTTATTCTTAGAAGGGGACAGAATTCTCATTTTAACACAAGGCTCAGAGGGCCAGAGTGATGGTCATCTTCCTTCCTTCTTTTGTACTCCCCTGTGTTCATCTTATTTGGTTTTCAACAGGTTTATTTCCATTGCAACCCTCTGGCTTCCAATGCCCATAATGCCATATTAGGCAAATAACATTCATTTCTGCTTCCTCTCTGTTAATGACGAAGGCCTTTAATTGCTATTCCACCATTTCAAACAGTTCTCAGAAGCTTCTTCCCTCCTCTGTTGAAAGAATTGGGATGAAGCCTGATGAAAATTCTTTGCCAAATGTTCAACCATTGCTAAATCACTCTGCTCTTTCATTTTAGTCATCTAATTATGATGTCTGCTTCCAGTTTTTCTATTGCCCTTTGATGCTTATCTGTTGAACAAATTGTGACACCTTTAAAAGGGGTTATTTTGGTAAAATAAGGTGCTTGGTTCTGATTAAAAAGTGTTTTAAGTGATTCAGCCAAGGTTGTCTCCATGGGCTCAGGAAGTAACCACAGCCAAAATACCCTAGTGAGGGCAGAATATGAGAGGCCGATAATACCTATTGTTACCTTCGTCAAGGTGCAGCCAGGCACCAGGCTCATGGGAGCAAGCAAAGGTCCAGGCCTCTGACACCGCAGATTCTAAAGCAGCCAGAGCTAGCGATAGGTACTCAACAAGGAACTGAGATCTAGTTTTTTTAAAGTATCTTTATTTTCTTTTCTGTAAAATAGGAGATAGAAGACTAAACACTAGGATTTTATGCTATTTTGAAAATGAAAACGTAGCATGAGAAATATTGCCTGATATAGGAAAAAGAGTGCAGGGCTTAAAGTCTAGATTCAAAGAGCTCTGCGGTCTTAAGAAAGTCACTTTACCTCTCTGAGCTTCACATTTCTAATCAATAAAGTGATGCTGTGAGGCCAGCTGCTCTCCAATTTCCCTTGCAGCTTAGAAAGCCTAAGATGTCTACTCTAGCTAAAAAATAAACCAACCTTATAAAGAATTTAAAACAGATAAAAATTGTCTGGTATATCAGCTAGTGTTGGTGAATTTTCCTGTTAATTTGAAACTTTGCTCTATTTCACATTTCTTAACCTCTTAATTGAGAATTTACATAACTTGTCAGCGTCTCACTATCCTAATCTATAGAATGGGCATATTAATAGCACCTGCCTCATTGAGTTGTTGTGAGGACCAAGTGCACTGCTACATGTCTTCAGAACAATGCTTGGCATGCAGAAAGTACTCCATAAATGTAAGCAACTAGTAGTCATAATAGTAGTAGCAGTTGTTGTAGAATAGCTCTTTGATTTGATTGTTTATAAATGTTTTCAAAAAATAAACAAGCTGGCCGGGCACGGTGGCTCACACCTGTAATCCCAACACTTTGGGAGGCCAAGGCGGGCAGATTACCTGAGGTCAGGAGTTCAAGACCAGCCTGGCCAACATGGTGAAGCCCCATCTCCACTAAAAACACAAAAATCAGCTGGGCATGGTGGTGCATGCCTGTAATCCCAACTACTCCGGAGGCTGAAGCAGGAGAATTGCTTGAACCCAGGGGGTGGAGTTTGCAGTGAGCTGAGTTCGTGCCACTGCACTCCAGCCTGGGCAATAGAGTGAGACTCTGTCTCAAAAATGAACAAACAAACAAACAAACAAGCTAAGGTAGGAGTTGTTTTTGTAACCTCCTCAAACTGTCAATAAATAGGTGCCCAGAACATCTGTAGTGCTAGCTCTGCACTGTCACTCTCAGCCCTCACCATTACCTGCATCATTGACAGGAGAGGTAAGGCAAAACCCTATAAAAAGAAGAAAAACTTCCTTACGACTCCAATCAAGAGACAAGACATGAGATAAAACATTGGCCATCAAGTTTAAAAGATGATAATCTGTATTTTAAGCACTCCAAACTCTCTTTCTTCATACTAAATATTTTGAACTGTCACACAGATGCCAACAGAGGTTTGTTTGTTTGTTTTTTGAGAAGAAGTTTCACTCTTGTTGCCCATGCTGGAGTGCAGTGGTGCGATCTCGGCTCATTGCAACCTCTGCTTCCTAGGTTCAAGCGATTCTCCTGCCTCAGCCTCCCGAGTAGCTGGGATTACAGGCACCCGCCACCATGCCCGGCTAATTTTTTTGTATTTTTAGTAGAGACAGGGTTTCACCATGTTGGCCAAGCTGGTCTTGAACTCCTGAACTCAGGTGATCTGCCCCCCTAGGCCTCCCAAAGTGCTGAGATTACAGGGTATGAGCCACTGTGCCCAGCCGCCAACAGAATCAGTTCATTTTTAAACGAAAGGAGTTAGACTAACATCACTTCCAGCCATTGGACTCCATGTAGCTAAGACCCCACTTACTTTGGGTCACACGCTGCAAAGAGAATATTTTCAGAGTGAGCAAGAGCAGAAGGCTCTGTGCCTGATACTATTTGTGGTGCCCACTCAAATATATCTCATAAAACATCAACTTCCACCTATAGGCAAAGGTTATATCACCTATTCCTGAGACACTTTTGTCAGAATGCATAAGTTAGCTAATATCAGTGGGAGTTAATCTGATTAAATAACTTCTCTTTTATTGTGTGCCTGGCACTGTGTTGGCACCAGAGTTTCAAAGATAAGATAAAACTCTCATGAAACGAAGCCATACTCTTGAGAACTCTCAGATAGTATAATATAGTGGTTAAGTGCAGAGGCGCTGGGGTCAGACTGCCCAGGTCATGGTTGCTAGAAGGAGGAAAGACAGGTAATTCATTAAAAAAATAAAATAAATTCCACCTCACAATCTTTTCCCAACTCAGCTCTGCTTTCAGGTTGAGATTTACTGAAACGAAGATCAGATGAAAAGAGTAAGTCAGAACTTCTGTAAGCCAGAACACTTCTTTAGTATACATCTGTGACACAGAACTAGGAGAGAAATCGCACAAAGAAGGGATCATTGAGATTTGTCAAGTCACAATTCAGATTAGATGTGAAGCCCCTTACCTGGACTCTCCATTATCAGATGGTACAGTCAATGTCATCCTAATTAACTGTTTGCATTCTCAACACCTGCTCATTCTACATTGAACCTACGTAATCTGCATATAAACCCAATGACCATTGATGATTTGTGCAAACTGACAAAAATAATACTGAAAATGTATCATGGTTGCAGCAATCAAAACCTGCTCTTATTCATTTATTCTAGTTCAATGTGCTCTCTTACTAAATGATAACACTTCACAATAATATGATTAAGTATTATCGAAGAATGATAATTTTCCAAAACTACAAAAGTTTCACTGAACAAGCAATTAATCAATTCTAGGAGTTCTATGATTTATATAAAAATAAAAAGCCAGTAATAACCCAAATTCTCATCCTATAAAAAATATAGATTAATGTTTGAAATATTTGTTGAGTCTATGGCCATACCACTGTCTACAGCCGTACCATCCTGAACATGCCCAATCTCATCTGAAATATTTGTTGAACTATTTTTATCTGGAGGATTGTGGTTTACATTTTCTGGATACACATATATGTAATTAGGATGATTTGGGGCCATTTATAAGTTCATAAAGTTTAATTCTCCTCTACTGACCCTACTTGGCCCTTAAAAAAAATCATCTAGGAACAAAAAAACAAAAACACCAATTTTTAGACAGATAAAATGCTGTCTCCTAAAACACACACACACACATACACACACACACACACACACAGAGACACACTGGTCTTCTTCTGATCTTTCCTTTAGTGTAACAAAAAAGTTATTCCTTAACATATTTCCCACCTCCTTTCTTCATGCCTTCTCATTGCTTTCCCAAGCTGCTCATTCCAACAATGCCTTTAACTCTGATGACTCTTATTAAACACGACTACTTAATTACCATCAATCTATTATGCTATGTACTTCACCCTCCACTGACACATCTGATCCCATTATGTGCCTGACCTTTAACGGTCATCAAATCAAAGTCATTCTGGTCAGTTCAGTCTGGGCCTGACACATGCCCAGGTCACAGAGATGAAGGCGCAGGGGCCTAGCATACCACGTTACCCTGCCCTTCACTTAACACCTTTGTCAATAGAATTTCACAACTGGGAAACTGCCAGGTTTCTGCCTGGCTTGAATAAAATGCCCCTCCTTTTACAGAAAGCTGAAATAAATAATTACACACATGCTGACCAGCACTGGCTTTTATGTAATTGGTGCCTCTCTACCAGCATGACACACTGCCTTCTTGGATGTTTGTGCTGAAAAATCTTTGCTTGGAAAGTGAGAATTTATTGTGCAGCCTTCTAGAATATACCCAGCACTCCACACTGGCTGAAAATCCCCTAAAGATATAAGAGAGATGGAAAGACAAGTTGAGGATGGCCACAGCAACACCACCAAGTGGGTGGCCGCCTTCCACTGAAAGGCCAGTCCACGGAAGCATTCTGGGTTCACAGACTTGTGTGCTACCCTCTGATGGGAACAGCTGTTCGGGCTGCTCTGTCTCAAAGCTGCATGCTGAAAAACACTCCCACTCAACCTAATGAGACAGCCATTTAGAAAAGAGGCTCTTCCTGGCTAGTAGGGCCTGGTCATTGTTATTCACCCACAGGCTTTCCCTGGTGGTGAACATGGAACTGTTTTCCCAGACCAAACATGGACCCTCCCTCGAGGTAGCCAGACACACTGTCTGGTGTGCACAAACATTTTGACTTCTGACTGGACAGCTAGACCTGGCAGTGTCTTCCCCTTGCTTTACTTTACTAATGCGTGTGTATTTTTACCAGCCCCTCTGGGAAAACTGCCCTGCTTTATAGCAACTTGTCACTGACAAGGAATTTCTCATCAAGATTGAAATCTCTGGCCATCCCCAAAGCTCCCAACCCTTCTGAGTTTCTGAGCTCAGGACAAGGAGATTTGTCCTTGGAAAAAAAAAAAAAAAGAAAGGAAGAAGGAAAAAGAAAAGAAAACTGGCTTTAGGAAGCAGTATTGTGGTTTTTTCATGGCTGTGATGAACGAAAACCCTCCCATAGTGGCCCAAAGGCAATTACAAACATTTGGCATGTGACAAATTAATAGTGAGACTTATTTCTTAGAAGAACAATGATTTGCTTAGATTTTTTTAAATTTCTAGATTCTCTAGAAATTTTCCAATGGAATGTGTATTACCTTATTCTTTTTCTCCCACCTCCTCCAAAATATACCAATCTGAGATGATGAACTACATCACCTATTTAGCTCCCTCTTCTCACTCTCATTCCTGACAGGTTAAAGCTGTTTTCACAACAGTTTTCTCTTTTTGCCAGGCTCTTAAGCATTGCCTATTAGTAATACATACCAAATTTACTTAAAAGTCTTAACATAGGGCCCATAAAGCAACACAACCCTCTAATAATTGTATCAGCCATCGGGCTGAAACAAGTTCAGTTCCCTGAAAAATAGGAAGTTTCACTGTGTAAGAAATAGAAACATAAATAATAAATCAGAAAAAAAGACTTCAATCCCATTATCATCTTTCATCTGAAAGACTGAAATTCACAGTCTTTCCACAAATCACTTCACTTGCTATCAAATGTCTTCCAAAAGACTCTAAATGTCTTCTAAATTGAAGTTAATTGTTAAGGAAGGATACACTCAGGTGATCTATCATTAGGCCCAGTAAAAATATTTGGCAATGTGAGCTTCGTTTCCATCTGAGAATCTCAAGACAATTGACCAGCAATCAGAAATTATTCCCACATTAGGAGAGATGATCGGAAGTACAGATCCTACAGTAAATACAAACCTCCCATTTCAGACCCAACTCAGATTTATTACCAAAAAAATTACCCATCCAAAAACTAGCATGTTGAAAATACAGCATAAGCTATTATTTGGTATGTAACTTCTTATATTACAACCATTTACCACTTTTATTTCCAAAAACTCATTTTATTCAAAAGTTTCCTTATGTAAGTGATGGTTCTGAAGGCACAAAAATATCTCCAACATTTTCCTGAAATTTTTATTGGTTTAAAAGTGAGTACCAGAAAGAATTCAGATAAGCATGACATAGGACTGGTGTGTTTATAACAGCAGCTGTATCTGTTTGCATTTGTGGTGTAACTTATCCTCACCCTCCTAAACCTGAAGACCCATCTCTACTTTGATTGACAATTGTATATTAGAGGAATTCTCACGGTAATATGTACACTATGTAAATTTCTCTATGTCTGACTGGCATAAACAGACTTTGCCCAATTAAAGAGTTAATAATCATTGAGCGGAGCTTGGGAGCAGAAGGTACCCTGTTGCTTTAAGATACATTTGCCCTCAAAGTAGTTAACAGGAAATTTAATTCATAAAGTCTTAGGAAATGTCACATCTGTAACTATTCCTCTCTCTCTCTCTCACTCAACAAAAAGAGCCTCGACTGATCTCATTAGAACACTGAGATGAACTAGCCTGTGGTGAGTAGCTCAGAGGTTTGGTTTGCCCAGGGCCTGACCTCCACACCAGCCTTCCTCTCCCTCGTGATAGCAACAATTTCAAGTTTTAAAGGATTGAGCAGCCTAGCTTTTTTCCTTACATTTAAAACACACCTGGTTTCTAGGAACAGTCTTCAGTGTTTCATCCTTTACTTGATTATCTCAGAAATGTTGGAGGCCTTGAAGATCCTGGATGTCTTTTCTCTGCTCCTTGACAATTCCATGTGAATTTTAAGGTTTCTTTTCTCTTTTTTTTTTTCTCTTTCATCTTATCCCTGCTTCTCTTTTTCCCAAACTCTCAAATAAGTGGGGTTTTCCCTTTCTCAGTTCTTAATATGTCTCCATAAACATCTTACCCCAGTGAGTACACACACATGCACAAACACACATAACAATGCTATATGAGGGTTATGTGAATGTTCAATGTGTCACTAAAATTGCTGATGTTGGTCTGTATTTGTAATACCTTAAAGAAGGATCAATCAATTAATCATTTTAAGTTCTGCTTAAAACAAATTACAGCAGTCAAAAAAGTGATGCACAACCCCTTAAACAATGCTAATGTATTCTTGTGAAAGGATCCAATTGACAGTTTTACGAGACTGGAGTCTGGTGAAAGCAGGTGTACACGGCCCAGCAAAAATGGCACTATGTCGTGAGGTTTGAAGGGAGATGCGAAAGTCATTTTATGTGGTTGGCCTCTGCAGAGCCTCAGAGAAATGAGGCAGCAGCGAAAAGCCATCTGCTGCCAAGATACAAGCACAGCTATTATACTTCTCGCTATTCACATGATCATACCTGAAACTGATATGGAGTGACATTACCCAGCAGCTTAATTAATGCTTTTCTACACTGCATGAAATACACATTGGCATCAGCCAAGCAAAGGAAAAATACTTAAGTGGATTCTTACATTGAATTACATATATGTTGTACTTTAATCAGAGATGAACATGTTACTTTTGAAATAAAATCTGAAATTGTTATTCCTTACACAAGGAAAAAAATCAGCATTGCAATCTAAATCTAAATTGGAATGTAATTTTGAATTTCTAGTAATAATGGATTCTAAGGGCAGCATTTGAAGCTAAACTCTTAGAAGCAAATAAAATAATTGATACTTCTTTTTTGGTCCACAATACCTTTTTATTTTTTGTTTTCTGCTCTATTTTAGACTAGCCTTTGTTCTTCTTAATTTTAACTTGTGAGATAAACTAATGGCCTTTACCATAAAGCACGTTTATAAACAAGGACAATTAGGAAATCAGGAAAGAGGACAAGAATTAATTTACAGTTCTGTGAGCAAGTGGATAAAGCTGCGATTTACACCGCAGATTTGAGCAGTGCTGTGGTCAGATCACAGGTGACGTGGCGGGCCTCAAGCCTGCCTGTGCAAACATAAAGTCAGAGTCGGAGAACTTGAGATGCACCGACTATTTTGCAAGAGCTCAGGAAGCTGCTCTACATACCAAAGAGCACCCCCAGAGAGAACTTCAACCCTTTAACCAGGGTCTCTACCAAGAATATTGTCACCTGCCACCTGTGAAACTTCGAGACAGACACCTCTCCATCTCTGAGCCAGGAATTCCCACTTCTTGGTGTTCAGCTCCAACTGCTGGTTTTACACCTGCTGCGGGGAAAGCCTCAAATATCTTAGCCACATTTGGAAGTAGTTCATTAAAGAGGTTCTAAATGCCTATTTTTAAAAATATTTTTAGAACACTCAAGAGTTTTATAGCACAGGAGAGGCCTATAAAAGAAAAGTACTTTGCTAACAGTATATGGAAGGAAATTTTTCAAATTAATTTTTAGTGCACATTGTTGCTTCTGAGAGTTTTTGTTTAATTTTTATAGTGTTAGAGGTTACACTCATCATTTTATTAAAAGATTCAATTAGGTTTAACATTTATGGAGCACCTTTCCTTTGCAGGCTTCTTGGCTGAGGATTCAAGGATGAATTAGAAGTGACCCTATATAGGAAGCTCATGGTGTGGTGAGACACACACAGCTATCTCTATACATTGGCAAGGTACACACAAGACTCCAAAGCATCTCAGGGGACGGAACAATTCATTCCGCAGTGCAGTGGGAGTTCAGGGGCCAGGCTGAAAAGGCGGTCCAGCAATGTATCAAAGAAGTGATAACAAGTTCTCTGGGTCTTAAAGGATGATTCAGAGTTCTCAAGAAGGAGCTCAGGGGGAGGAGCATTCCCTGTCCATGCTAGAGATACAGCACTTGCAAAGGCCCAGAGACCAGGAAGCACAGGTGCTCTTGCAGATTAGAAAGTCAGCTATTGGGCCCTGAGGAGCAGAATTCAGAGTGGGGCAATTTGTGGCATTCATTTTTGGCCACTCCACTTTAGGATAAACATCCTACACCAGGCAAACTTTGGCTTACTAGAGTACCTCTCAAGCAATATGCTGAAGCTAAGTAGATTTCTGTGGTGTTTGACTTCCCAAAGAACTCAAAGCACTTAATCAATAAAGAACACCATCCCATCCCATCCCCTCCCCTCCCTCATCTCAGTGTCTTGCTGCTGCTTGAAATTTTTTTTTTTTTTTTTGAATCTCTAAAGATAGCCATTGGAGGAGGAGGAAAAGAAGGATATAAAAGTTATGGTATATTTATGATGTTTACATATAATAAATATATGCATTTTACATTTTTTAAATGTCTATAAATACAAGATTTATATATTTGCCGACATCATAATACCATGCAGACAATGTGGTTTTGTAATAGAACACAAGTGTGAAGTTTTATGATGGACTTTTTTCTAGCCTCTGTGTATCTGTTGTAGTATATATACCCTTGTTTACAGAAAATGTCACATAATGAAATTTGAGGTCCTTCATAAATGTAGAGCCAGAGCAAATGCACCCCAGCCCCATGTGCCCACCCCCATCCAGTCCTTTCTAAATGTTTACTCAGTTAATACTAAATAGTAAACTAATAACAACTCTACTCCCCAGCCGAGAGCTCCTGCTGTTGGAATAGGCATATTTTACTTAAATAAGTGTTCTTACGTATGAGATTGGAAGGCTACATGTGTAAGGGAACGTGCATGTAGGTAATGCCTTTGTGGAAAGTCCACACCCCACCCCAAGATCTCTCTTGCTAAGATTCCAAGCTCACTGCCTCTGGAACTACTGAATGGTCAGGGACAAGTGGGGAGGTTTGCTGTGGGTCACTCTACCTCCACCACTGCCACGAAGGCCCATTTCCTGGGCTTTGCTCCCTCTTCAGTTCACTGCCCAGAGTGGAGTTAACGGGGACACACTTCACCACCTCAACAACCACTGGTGGTCCATGCAGCACAGGCTGCCCAGCCATCCATCAAAGCGGAGCCTCCTGAGAACAGCAGAATGCCAGTTTCCCCTGTCAACCCACCTCTCCCAGCCCTTCTGCGGAGCCCTGCCAAGGACTAGTCCCAGCCTGCTCCTCCATTGGCCATCTGAACAACTCCCAGCATGATGGGCAGATGGAAAGAGAGTGGCTTGTGACGCTCTCCACACAATGAAGAAAGAAACATGCCTTCTCTCCTCAACACACAGCAGCTCCCTGTCATGACCCCCTGCTGCCGTTACAAAGTCATTAGCATCTACTGTGCCCCTGGGGGTGAGGGAAAGCCAAACCCCGGAACAATATCATCTCTGCTAAAGACACAAAACTTTTGCTTATGGCACAGGCACAGAGAATTCTGGATAAACAGGCTCAGGGTTTTCTGGCACCCAGTGAGTGGCTACCTCAGAAAGTCACCTTGGTTTGACAAGGGGCCCATGAGAAGGATGGAGTTTGGGGCATTTTTCTCTTAATCCTCACAAGTTATGGGGAGAAAGAGCTACTATTCTGGAAATTCTGCCCCCAAATTTATTCTTAAAAAAAAAAAAAAAAAAAGACAGAGTCACACTCTTGTTCCCCAGGCTGAAATACAGTGGTATGATCACAGCTCACTACAGCCTCAAATTTCTGGGCTCAAGCAATCCTCTCACCTCAACCTCCTGAGCAGCTAAGACTACAGGTACACACCACCATGTCCAGCTTATTTTGTATTTTTATTTTTATTTTTGTAGAGAAGGGGTCTCACCATGTTCTCTAGGCTGGTCTTAAATCCCTGGCTAGTGACATGGAACTACAAGGCTGTTTGTTTGTTTTTGTTGATGTTATTTTGCTTTCATTTTTCCCATCTCAGGTAGAACAGCAGCATTTTGAATCTTTCTCTACCATGTACTCAGCACCAATTCCATGAGCTAAGTTCAGGGACCCTGTCTATACCACTACTTGGTTTGCATAAAAGTGCTGGGATCCCAAAGTGCTGGAATTACAGGCGTGAGCCACTCTGCCCAGCCCCAAATTCATTCTCATGAGACTTTGCCCAGCCTGTAAGAGGGAAGCCTCCATCCCCATGTAGAGATAACCTGATAGCAATGCTGAGGGAAGCATATTGATGTCCTCCTCCATCAGCTATCCAGATCAGGCTGCAGGCAGCTCTGCAGTGGTGGAGCACAAGGAGACTGCAGAAGGATCCCTAGCCTTGGGATCAGTGCCCTGGCTTCAAAGCCCAGCCTTGCCTCTTTTAAATTGCTTTCATATGTATCTGCAGCTAGTGTTTCCCAAACTTCACTCATCCCAGTACTTCCTTTGCAAATATCTGTGCATCACCTGGGCAATAGCTACTTCATGATTTCCTTCAAGCACTCACTTTTGTCCCCTAAATTCATTCTAAAAGAACAGTTCAAATGGAAAGTCAGTATCTTTTGCTATAATAGAGGGAATCATAAAAAGAGAGAAGACAAAACAATATTAATAAATTCTAGCTAAATTCTGTTATCTGATGAAGCTTCTGTCTTTCTGTTGACTAGAGAAAATAGCAAATTTTTTTTATTTTACTTTATTATTATTATACTTTAAGTTTTAGGGTACATGTGCACAATGTGCAGGTTAGTTACATATGTATACATGTGCCATGCTGGTGTGCTGCACCCATTAACTCGTCATTTAGCATTAGGTATATCTCCTAAAGCTATCCCTCCCCCCTCCCCCCACCCCACAACTGTCCCCAGAGTGTGATGTTCCCCTTCCTGTGTCCGTGTGTTCTCATTGTTCAATTCCCACCTATGAGTGAGAATATGCAGTGTTTGGTTTTTTGTTCTTGCGATAGTTTACCGAGAATGATGATTTTACATTTGCACTTATTAGAAGGACTAAAAGAGAGCTTGAAACTAAATAACTCACTTCTTGGTTCAAGGCTGTTGAGTACTCAGGCTATGAGCCACCCAAATTACCCCCATTCTAGTCTACACCCTACAGTTTAGGAAACCCCAGGCTAGTGACATGGAACTACAAGGCTGAGTTTGTCTGCTCTTGTTGATGTTATTTTGCTTTCATTTTTCCCATCTCAGGTAGAACAGCAGCATTTTGAATCTTTCTCTACCATGTACTCAGCACCAATTCCATGAGCTGCTAAGTTTAGGGACTCTGTCTACACCAGCACTTGGTTTGTGTAAAAGGCAATATACAGATCCAGCTTGAACTGAGAGCAAGGAAAGGCCATTAGCTATCCTCTGTTCTCAGTTATTCCTTCCTTTCATTTATTCAGAAGCATTCTGGAGAGAAATATATATATATATATATTCAAAACACATGTTTTTTCAAAATATGTTTCAAAATAAAGCTATGTGAAAAACTCAGAAATCTCATATCACGTGAGATTCATTTAAAAATAGGTGCTAAAAATTCCAATGACACTTTCCTTCATGCAAAATATTCCATTCCCTCACCAGTCATCTAGCATTCACCAATCAGGTAATACTTCGGAGAAAAAAAAATAGATTTATAGCTTCATTTTACAGACAGAATGACTCAAACTCCAAAGAGGTAAAGATAGTCACCCAATCACAGAGCATCATCTTGAATTAAAAAATAATCTAAACTTACCGCTCTATTTTACACATGGGCTAACTCACAGTCCAAAGAGGTGATGAAGATGGCTGCCCAAGACCACATACAAGAGGTGACAATTTAAAAATTCCATACTCTCCAAGTTTATGCTTTTGAGTCAAACAGTAGATTGGCCAGAGTCACTTCTCTCACGTGCAAACACCAGAAAAACTGCTTTATCTGCCAATATCACCATTAAATATTATGTCCCTCAAATTCTTCATGAAATTCATGGCAACCTGTCTGAGTTAGCTTATCCCAAAGGTCTTTATTTTTGTTTGGTTTGATTTTCCGAGGCCCTATCTGAACAAAGGTTGTAAATCAAAAGGAAAAGGCTTGGATGGACTTCCTGAACATTTTGTAGGATGCTTGTCCTTTCAATGTTCTGTATTTCTTGGCCTTAGCATCTCCAACACTAGGTTCATTGTATCACACAACAGTGTCAACAAATGCTATGCACTAAAGGAAAAAAGCAATGGACCTATCATCTGCTTTCTATCCCATGTAACTTCCTAATCAATCTTTCCCTGTGATAACCTGGGGACTGAGAATACATTTAAAGCAACACTGAATCCTGTGAACATTGCCCTTTCTCCAAAGGCATTTTTTTTTTTAATCACAAAACAGGAAGTTCCAAGCCATTGAAACTCACCAGTATATTTGCTTGAAAGTCTTCTGGAACAACAAAACGGTACATGCCTATCCAGGCAAGCAGACTATTATAAAAGCAGATGTTTTGCTCACTTCCACTTCAGAGAAACACATTGTCAATTTAGTTAACATCCTCTAGTCATTTGAACAGCCTTCTCAGGAAGTCAGCAATGATATAACTCAAGTACAATATGATCCTTGTGTTCCCATTTATCTCATACTTACACATCTTAGCAGAAGATAGATGTGTGCGTGTGTGTGTTAAATGAATTAGAAGGAAGAAAAATGCTGGGCTACTCACTAGTCTCACTAAAACATCAACCCACAGGAGTGGGATTCAAAGAACAAAAGGTTCTTGGAGGGTGTGGGCATCACTATACATGGATAACATTCTTGCCAAGGATCTAGCACTGCCTGTTTCCCACAGCCAGCACAGAATAATTCACCCACACACACACTCTGTGTCGATCAACCACTGGAAAGGTGGTCTCCAAGCATCCCAGCACTCAATGTCAGGGACCTCAGCCCCTTGTGCAGTGATCTGGTCTCATCGTGCCTTGGGTAAAGTGGCCATGCTTCGTCAGCCAGCTCAAGAAGAGAGGCTAAGGTTGGGGGTCAAGATGAAGGGAAAACTAAGAAACAGCCTAAGACAAGCAAAGGGTGAAGTGTCAGGGAGGAAACAAAGTAAGACAGAAAAAGGAAAAAGAAAGAGAGAGGTAAACAGTAGTGACCCTGGCAAAAAAAAAAAAAAAACAAAAAACAAACAGGCGACAGGCAGCAGGGGAGGAGTTGTTGAGAAACGGCATGGCTTGTGTCCACACCACAGCCCTGCTGTTAGAGAACTCATCCCACAGAATGGGGCCATTCAGTGTGACAGAACAGGACTGCCAGCCACAGTGCAGGGACAGCAGGAGCAAGAGCACTGAGATGCTCCTGAACCATTATCACAGAAGGAGAGGAAAACTGCATTAATGACTGAACTAACTTTAGGTCTTTTCAAAACAAATATAGTCATCAAGCTAAATATTCCCAAGTCTCCAGAACACACATGGGTATGCACAAACATGTGTGCACAAACACACACACACACACACACACACACACCTCTTTGCTGGCAACAAGATAAGCAAGTATTAGCCAGCATTATTGGGACAGGTTTTAGCCCTAATTTACAGAGCTTTTGAGATCATGCCCCAGTAAATTTTTTTAAGCTAATGTGTTCATACAGGAGCATCACAAGTAAGTTTATCCAAGTCACTGTTAAACCCACACCCTGTCTTACTAACTCAGACCATCTATTTCAATAGCTAATCTCTCTCACTTGAGGATGTTAGCCAAGGCTTGTTGGTAAGGGTGAAGAGGGGCAAATAGCAGAGGGCAGAAGGGCCCCAGCTCCAGTCAACCTTTTTCTCTCTCTCAAACATCAATGCCACCCAAGTAGCACCAGAATCACAAGGCATCCAGACATCAGTGGGATTTGAACAAAGGGCCAAAGTTCTCTTTTTCAAATGTCTGCTTGGGGCCTTGCAAAGCCAGAATTTAACCTTATGCTACTGGGGTAATGTTCATTTGGGAGCACTTAAACTTAAATTACTCTTAAATCACTCCTCTGTACTAGACACACCCAGCTCTTGGCAGTGAACCAGAGTCTAGATGCACCGCCCACAACCCACTGTTCAAACCTGAAACTTGAAAGGCCTCAAAATCCAAAAAGTAAACACGGCTTCTTAATCACTTTTTTAAATCATCAGCTTCCTTTATCTCCAGCACCTTGTTTTTCTGTTGGGTCGTTCCAAGCAGAAGCGAGAAGTGAAATGCTAGGCCAGGATGGGTGTATGGAGGACCACAGTGTTCTGGGTGCTGCAGCAGACACTACAGAGGGCACAGAAGAGGCTCATGCAGTTCAGCCCTTGTGGCGCTGCCAGGGCATTGTCCGGGGAAGGGGGTCAGAGCACAGCATCAAGCCAGGCCGCTGCTCTACCTTTATGAATGGTGTGACTTTGGGGAAGTTACTGAACCTCTGCCCCTTTGTTTTCTCATCTATAAAACAAGGATGATAGCAATGTCTAACTCATAGGACTATTGCAAAAATTAAATGAGTTAATATATTTAAGAGCTTAGAACAGTGCCTATGAGCTTTATTATTATCATCATCATTATTACCATTATTATTCCTTAGTTTATAAGCCATGGATCACTTCCCATTGCCTACCGAGGTAAATACACACACCCTGATGTAGCATTCCAGGTTGGAACTATCTTCTCCAACCTACATTTTTAGCCTCATCTCCCATTGCTATCTGCCATGCACCATGCACTTAAAACAAAGGAGGTGGTTCTCCCCATTTCCTGGACATATCTCATAATTCTCTGACTCAGCTCACATAGTTTTCTCTGCATTTCCACATTTCTATCAAAAGTGAATCCATCTTTCAAGACCATTCTCAAATGCTGCTTGAATTTCCAAATATTCATTGAACATGTAAAATCCTATAGTTTCTCACAGGATGTGGCTGCATGTACTCTGGCTGTCAGTGTGCTTCTTCAAAGGTAACAACCAATATTGGGTGAACTACACTGGATATGCTCTAAATAATCTAGAGTATAAAGGGAAGGATCATTTTCATAATTAATTTATTTCTTTATTGCACTAATATAATGCCAGATTTTTAGAAGCCACATGATCACAGCTTCTGTTCCACTAGTTATTCTTCACCTAAATCTTCTGTCGAGCCTTCCCATAATTATGCAATTAATTTTTTAAACCTAAATGCACAATTTTACATTTGTATCTACTGAGAGACACCTTGCAGATCACCAGGCAGAGCTCCAACTTGAAAAAGTAATGTGGATAATACTTTGTTATCTTTTATATTGGCCATATACCCCGGTGAAGTCATCTAAAAAGCTTGAGAGCATTCTGTCTGCATCATAGATACCAATGTGAAATAATGTAGGATGAGGACAGATTATTGCAGCCATCCACTAGTCTCCCCAATTTGACAGATCCAAGATCTTTAGATATAGTTATTTCACCAGATGTCTAACTCACCCTGCCAATTTTCATCACCTTATCCACACAGACATCAAGAAATTTTATAAAACACTTTCCTAAAACCAAGTTTTCACTATCTATTCCCTTCCCCTAGTAAGAATCTTTTTTAAGACTAAGGGGTTAATTTGCATGACAAACATGTTTGTCTCCTAGAAACTACCACTCTTTTCTAATGCTCCAAAACAATGTCTGGATATATTTTTCATGTAATAGAAAAAAGAAATAGGAGACTGATGGGGAAGATTCACAATTCAGTGACAAGAAGCAGCCCAGAAATCTCAACCGCCTGGGATATTTGTTCTAATGAATCTAAGGGTCAGATGAACTTCTAAATACAATGCAGCCACTCCTTAGCAGTTTATAACTGCCAAGTAGGAGCGTACACCTCCTGGAACCTTTAGACTTTCGAAGGTTCGTAATCCTGTCCCCCAGTTGACCATTATATCAGGTGAGCCATGCAGCAGACTAGGAAGAGTTAAGATCTCTTGGGTTCAGTTTCCTGATATTTTAGAGAATCTTAAGTTACAACAATTCTACATTCCCGAATTGGGACATCCGTCCACGAGAAAGGCATTTCCCCACTCCCACCATGATCTAGAGCAAACACGAACAACCTCTGAATAAAGCAAAGAGTCTTGTGTGAGCAAACCTAGCCTAACACTCTAGACTGTGATCTGTTCATTTCTAAATAGACTACAATACCTAGTCTCTGAAAATGCCACCCTATCCACCTGTAAGTCCCAGTATTCGTGCCCTTGTGTAGTCTCCTCTTCTCAAATCTGGGTTGGCCCTGGGACTCGCATTTGACCTATAGAATATAGCAGAAGCAACACAGCATGACTCCAATGTTAGGTCATAAAAAGCCTTGCAGCTTAGAATGCTCCCTCCAGCAACCCAGCCACTGTGCTGTTAGAAGCCATATGCAAACATTGATGTCCTCAAGAACCTCAACTGAACTCTGACAGCCAGTAGCAAGCAGCCATTCGATTGAGCCACTCGAACATCCAGCTTAGTGGTCTTCTAATGACTGCAGCCCCAGGCCAACATTTGACCACAGCCACATGAGACCGCAAATGAGACCACCCAGATGAACTCAGTCAACACCTAGAACTACAAAAAGTAATAATAAACTGTTGTTTCAAGCCATTAAGTTTAGGGTTGATTTGTTACACAGAAATATCTGGAATCAGACCCAACTTGGAGACTGTGGATAGCAGAATCTACTTTTATTCTAGGCCTGGAAATGCCAAAGATGACTCTGGGGTCCCAGGAACTTACAGCCAAGTTGTCCCGGGCCTCAGATATTTGAGGCCTATGGATGACTCAAAACTCTGAAATAAAGATCAACCAGAAGAACTGAGCTCTCTGGCACTGTGTCCTAATTCGGACTGTTGGAGAATATCACACAACAGTAAAATCTTACGTAACTGCAAATTCACTCAAGTGGAATTTCAACTAATCACAAATTCATTATATGTGATCTTTAAGTTTTCAAAGTTTGAAATAATTTATTTAACTTCTAGCATCAAAATTGGATTGAAAGAGCTACTCTTCAAATTAAAAATCAATAGATGTTTATAATCATGGGCTCATAAAATATTGAAAACACCATTCATTCCATATTATTCCACACACAGTGCAAGGTAATGAGTATGCAACTGGGGTCAAAGGAGACATAACCTTTGAGCAAGCAATCCAGCATGAAAGGTAAACTCTATAAAGTAAACAAACAAATGATTAAAACTTCAACATGGAATGCAGTAATAAAGAAGCAATGGTAGAGGAAATTCTCATCAAGGATGTCTCTCTGGAGAAGAAATATTTCATCTGACACCTGAAGGATGAAAAAAGTTCCCAAAGTACTTTATACAAGTTGCAAGGCTTGATAATTAAAATTCTTATGTAGTAGATAATTGTAGTGAACTGTATTTTTTCTCCATTGACTTGCCTACACACTCAGAGCACTTTAAAGTCTTCCCCTAGCATTAGTACTACATTTCAAATTTTGAATTTCATAAAACCACCTCCCTCCTAACTACTCACCTTCCTCTCACTCTTCTGCACTGTCTTGTTCCCCAAGACCTCCCCAATGTGGACTTCATCCCAGTTCTGCATGTGGCCCCTTTGTGTGACCCTCATGAACACATTCTCCAGGTTTATCCCCAGCAGTCCTCCTACACATGACTGACAGTATTAGCCCCCTGCTACCATGCACCATGACCCTGAGAAGAAGCACCCTACCTCACATCCCACCTGACCCTTAGCCCTCACCTGCTTTTCCAGAGAGAGGAACTTGACGTCTTACAAGTAATCATGTATTTACTAGTATATAATTTTCTGAAATTATTTTCAAGTAATACATGGACTTTTGATCTTATTGGTCAGTCTAATAGGCAATGGAGGGCTCACACATCTGCTTCAGCACAAATCAAGGCCTGCCTGACATTAAGACCTGGCTTCCTGGTGTGGTTGACATGGTTAGTTGCCTCCCCAATATTCACTCCATTTATCTCCCTTTTGTGCTGCGTGGGTGGGATTAACATCCGTGGCAGAGTCAGTTGGCTGATCAGCAAAGATTCATGCCGCCTTCCACAGGTTGGAGTGGATGCTGGAAAGCAGATGCCCACTCAAGGCATCTTCTCACACTTTACACTTTTCTTGACCTAGGAGGGGTCACATGATTAGTTCTCACCAGTGGAATTTGAGGGGATGTGATGTGTGTCATTTCTGAGCTAAAGTAGTTGAGAAGTAGATGTATCTTCTCCAAGGTCTCTTTCTCTGTTTGCAGCAATTTTGGAGTGCCACGTTGAAGATGGAAGAGTGCTAAGATACTGAATAAGCTCCTGGAGGTGAACCAATCATTAGGATTAGCAACACCCATATCAGTCTACGAGATAACTAAAAAATAAATGTTTACTTAATAAATGTATTAATCCAGAGAGAAGTTGGGATTTACCTGTTATAGCACCTAGCTCTCCCATATTAATATGGCATTATTCCAAGCTCCAGCGATGGATTCAGACTTGGTTCAGAGATGGGCATGTATCCCACGTCTGAGCCAATCAGTGCATAGTGTTCCTCTAGCCACAGAAGTGTCTTCAAAAGCTGACATATTGCCTAACTCAGTCCAATTAGAAGAAAGATTATGATTTCTTTTCAAAGTTTTGGAGAAAATAAGCTTTGTCTTTCCTACTGAATATGAATAACAAAGTATATAGTGAAGCATTTTGTGATAGTCTGAAGCCAACACACAAGAAAGAAGGGCCAAGAGAAACATTAAGAATAATAGAACCAGAGTCTTGATCAAACTGTGCCTGGGCATGTAATCTATTAGATTTTTCTGTTTCCTAAGCTAATACATTCCCTTAATTTTTAAGCCAGTTTAAATTTGGTTTTCTTTATTAATAACTAATATCTTCCAAGTATATACTTCATTATACATGAAACTCTTGTAATCAGTATAGGGAAAAGGAATAAATTAAAACCAATTGCAATTTAAACATAATTCACAGTTCACAAAACCCCAAGTATTAAGATAGGATATATAATTGGCACATCAATAAAACATTAATCAAAATTCATAAGTATCTATACCTATGACATGCACTATATCAGTCAGAATAGGTTAAGTTATGCTTCCATAATAACTAACTCCAAAATCTCAGTGAGTTATGAAAAGTTTATTTCTTGCTAATGCTATGCTATGTGTCCCATTCTGGGCCACCTGTGCCTCATCTTCATCATTCCTCTGGGCCTTAGACTGCTAAAATAAGCCTCTATCTGGAACAGGAAAAAGACACAACACAGTGAACCACATGGTGAATCTTAAAAACTTCTGTTGCGTGTATTGGTCAGAGCAAACCTGGAGTCACAGAGATAATTCTTTATAAGAGACGTAGTGAATATTTGATTTGAGCAATATTAAGATATTTTATTAAAATTTTTAATTCAAAAAAAATTAATATTTTATATGAACAGTAGATTTCTAAAGTTGATAAATCCTAAATTACCTACTGAAAGAATAATTAAGACCCTAAAGAATAATCAGGCCCAACCTTACCATTTGTCAGCCCACAGATCAGAATGTGAAAATAAGTTCATCCAAGGTTGAAAGAAGTTGGGCTGTCAATAAAAAAGTGTTGAAAAGTCTTCTCCAAAACATTGTCTGTCACCATTCTAAAATTTTAATGACTACTACTAAGGTGCTGGTCAGAAGAGAGAAACACTAGAAAAAATATTGACACTTTAATGGAATTTGAGGAGAAACCTACTTGTAGGAGTCTGTCCATCTGTGCTATTCTAATATTTTATTTTACTACTAAGGCTTCTCTTCTGTAAGGGGTGGTGGTAACAGTAGCAGCTTTACAGAGGTCATAGAACTGAAGAAAAGGATTTTACTGAGAATTTCAAAGTGCTAAGCACAGTACAAATATGACGTCATGGAAACATCACCACACCCTTATGAAGTCGGTGGTCTCATCTCCGTGTTATAGAGGTGATGTCAATGTCCAAGGTCTCAGAGCTACGAAGTAGTAGACACAGATTTAAACATGTGCTCTGCCCCTAAATCCTATGCCTCCCATAAATCAAGGTTTGCCAGAAAGAGAGACAGGCTCTGAACTCAACAAAATTATGAGGAGGTGATTCCAAGGTTATGTCACCCTCCCTTGTCCAATCAGTGCATGCCTTTGTGAAGAAATCAGATATTCTGGGGGATAAGGGTCAATGCATTCTCCCACAGAGGGCATGAAGCCTTTGGCCACCCACCTGAAGCCCCACCAGTGACACTCTAGATCTCCATAGGCAGGAAGAGGCAGCACTGGGAGGGCAGAAGTCTTTTCACATTGCCACCTGTCATGCTAAGGGCCACCCTAAGATTGGAGTTCAGGCAAACAGGATGGTGGCAGAAAATGGAAAGAAATCTGTTTGGTGATCAAGAAAGCTTCATTTGGTGAAAAACCCAGAACAGAGCAAGATTAAGGAATCAGGAGGCCAGGTGCTGAGGTATAAAGGAATAGACTGGAGGCACAGCAGTGAGAAGTAGGAAAGCACTTGGAGTTACCTCAGGACAGGATCGGCTGAAGAAAAATTAGTCAGTATACTGACTGTTCTCTATTTGCATAGCCACACATCTGGGTAGGTCAGCGCTTCTGTGACTTTAACCCCACTGAGCCAACTCCTTACTGATAAGCCTGCACCCTCTGATGGCTCTGGCTTCTGTGCAATGGAGAGATTTGACGCTATTCATTGAGGGTTTCACTACGTATCTGTGGCCAGTTTTTTATTTTCCTTGCAAATTGTTATTTGTAATATATCTATAACCTGCAAGTATGGGGCATTATCATAAGTGTTCTATTCAAAGAAGCTAGAGGACCACGTGGGCTAATTCAATACCAATATAAATGCCATTTTTTAGTTAACAAAGCATTCTCCAATGTATTAGCTCATTTGAACCTCACGCTAATTCTGTGAAGTAAATATTCTCATTCCCGCTTTACAGATGAGAAAACTGAGGTTGGGGTCTATTAACTATCTGTCCAAAGTCTCAAAGCCAGTGGCAGAGATAGAATTTGAATTTGGGTCTTCTGACAATATGATATTGCCCTAAGGAAAGGAATTCATAAATCAGAGAGAACAATTGTGGGCACTGGCAAAGAGGAATGCATTGGAATGGAGAAGAAGGTCCATATGACAGCTGTAAGATTATTTCAAGGAGAAATGAAGACAAATTGGAATTAAGCTCTCTTTTAATGATACATTTACCAGTGATCTGTCATTGAGAAAGAACTAATACATAGAGTATCAATTTTCAGTAAATATAAATGGCAAATAAGGCATTTAATGAATTGCAAATGACAGTGTTTCTAAGAGTAGTTATCAATCACTAGTAAAGGCCTTCCCATTTATTAATCATATATTTCATTTCAGCAAAGAATCTAACAAAATGGCATAAAGAGAATACAGAGCTGTGCAACACTTGCAGGGAATTAAAAAGAGAAAGAATACAGAGATGGTGCAGATGGTGACTGGGGAAGGTAGGCATGAAAAACAAAACTTCTGCTTTATCCATTTCAAATGTGAAGGGAAGACAAGAGAGAAGGAAAATATTTAGAAATGGGATTTTAAAATAGTCGGGTAACTGATAAAACATTAAGAAAACTACAAATTGTGAGCCGAGATCGCGCCACTGCCCTCCAGCCCGGGCAACAGAGCGAGACTCCATCTCAAAAAAAAAAAAAAAAGAAAAGAAAACTGCAAATTCATCCACTGTAGGGTAGGTTCTTAAGCCAACTAACAACAAAAAAAAAAAGTGAAAAGGAAAGAATCTTGGCCAAAAGTAAAGAGCAGTTCAGAGAAGATAAAAGAGCAAAAATCTGACTGCTCGGAGAGTCACCATGGTTATGGAGAGGGCTCCAGTACACTGAGTTGCCAAATTATCTCGGAGATTGAGCTTATCAATTCACACAGCTTCAGGTATTTAGCCTGGCCAGAGTTTTATTCAAAACAAAGGTTAATTAAAAAAAAAAAATAGAAAGTACTCTCATGCTCCCTTCCCCTACTTCATCCTGCCAACCTATCAAAAAAAAAAAATCAGTAAGTCTCCTTGGCCAACTGAATGATTTTAATATCATTATAAAGTCTTAATAGTTTGTTCTGGATGTGCTAGTAAAGCCACCATGCAAAGGATTTAAGGCAGCGTGAAATTATCAGGAGAATGAAAACCCAGTAGCATCTCCCAAAGCTATTATAGAAGGCATGGTTCAAGAAAGGAATATCCCCAATCACAAAAGAGGAAAAGAGAGTCAGGGCTGCAAAGGAGAGCAAAAAATATCTACAAATGGTTACTGCAACTGGTCAATTAAATTTAGCCTTTCTTCTAGTGTTTAAATTACCAAATCATTTTACACATTTATACAAGGGCAGAAATGTTTGCAACAAACTCTGAAGCAAACCAGATTGTCATTTTTTTCTCAGGGAGCCTAATAATTCAACTCCTCATTCAAATAACATTGCATATTTATGAGGCTGGAGTCTAATTAAATTACATCAGTCATCAATCTGATTTTGCTAAATTTTCTTTTCACATAACTATTAATGGAAATATGTGAACCCCCAAATATGAGCCTTTAAATATTGAGTTATTAGCACTGTGTTTTCTAAAGAAACCCTCTTACAGGTACCCCAAATGTGCTGCACCTTGCACATCCCCTTTCTGCTGCACATCTGTTTTTCTTCCACATTCTTTCTTCTGCCATCCCGTATCCCACCCTACCACTCCCAGAATCCAAATGGCAGAAAAGTGTGAATGAGCACAAACCAATCTTGTTATTACTACCATTTCCTTCTGCTTACTCTCAAAATAAGTTTCATAAGAGAGAATTAGGTCACTTATAAAATTACAAAAAGAGTCCTTCATCCAAAATCATTCACCAAGTGGAAGCTTCAAAAACATTAACTGAGGGCATCATGACAACTCTGGCCTGACCTTGGGCCTTCATCTCCACTGGGTTCAGAATATTGGGTCTAACTTTTAGAATACAGCTTCCTATTTTATCTCAATGGTATGTAAACACTCTATAGCAGAAACTATTTTATTTAACACAGTGAAAATGAAATGAATAATTTCTGTGTAGTGAAAAAGATGTCTCTCAACTAGAGATACTCAACTCTCATAAAACAAGTCACAAAACTGCCTCTGATAGCAACAAATGTATGCAGTCTAGCAGCTAAGAAATAGGTAAGCCAGCATTCTCTTACCAGTTTCACCCCCTCGTACGCATTGCCTAGAAAAACTTACCCTCATCTTCCTTATTTCAAGCCTCAACTGTAGAATAGAATCATTCTATTTTCTTTAGTTTATCATATAGTATGCTACAAAACTCCTCTTGCACCATAACTTATAATCCTCTTAAAATACATAGATTATCTCAAATAGTTATGATTCTGAAGCCCCACTCCTGAGGCTAGAAAATTCTACTCTTGGTTCAGTTCCTCGCATTTTATTTTATTTATTTGTTTATTTATTTATTTATTTATTTATTTATTTATTTATTGAGACAGGGTCTCACTCTGTCGCCCAGGCTGGAGGGCAGTGGTACAATCTTGGCTCACTGCAACCTCCGGCTCCTGGATTCAAGCGATTCTCTTTCCTCAGCCTCCTGAGTAGCTGGAATTACAGGCACATGACACCACGCCTGGCTAATTTTTGTATTTTTAGTAGAGACAGAGTTTTGCCATGTTGGCCAGGCTGGTCTCAAACTCCTGACCCCAGGTGATCCACCTGCCTCTCCCTCCCAAAGTGCTGGGATTATAGGGGTGAGCCACCACACCCGGCCCCTACCATTTTATATTTTATATTCATCTTACACTGGCAGTATAATTTTAAAACTCAAAATTCTCATAAAAACCTGGCTTTAATCTCTCTTTTCAACAATTGAACCATCATATTCCTTTACAGTTGGTTCAAAGGAAATTCTAAAAATTATAAAACTCAAGTGATCATTTTGGGGGAACAAAACAAAGGGGCAATTAGATTAAACAGCATTGAAATAAACTGCAAAATCCAAATGAAATCTCTCAGAGGTTTGTGCAAAATTATTAATAGTTTTGAAACAAGCAGTTAAAACTAAACTGAAGGAGTGTGGGCCCTTCAGGTGTCCAAAGTTATACACCTGCACACATTTTATAAATACACACTCATGCCTCTTTACTGACTTAGTCCTCTCTTTGAGTAAAGCCATTCTTCTTCGGCATAAGTACACACAAATGACTGTGTTTCTCAACAGGGGCTGTTTCTGTGTCCGTCCCACTGATCTCAACTAAACCTCCGGAACCATTAGGAACACAGACCAAATGTACACTCAGGTGCAACTGAACATACCTAGGCTGTCCAACAACAACAAATGAGATTATTTAATGAATTTTCATGTATATGGAAGTCTGTGACTGATAGCATTGATTAAAACCAACCAAGCATAAGGGCTACTGGCGTTCAACATCTAAACTTCCTAAAATATAGCCCGATCCCACCCTAAAACCTAATATCCTGCTTTTTAACATTTCTGAGTAGACAGATGTATTTTTTTTTTCTGGTTTCCCTGCACACCTTCTGTAGAATTCCCATTGCTTCCTTTGCATGGGAAGGTTGGCAGAAACATTTATGTCTGGAATTCTAGAAAACCAAAAGACAAAAGTGGCTAGCAATAGTAAAGTCCTCCCTCATAAAACAGCTGCTGATTCTGGGGTTTTTTTCTATTGTTTACCTTGTTGTTTAATCTGAAGAAACATTATTGTCTCCTTAGAAATGGCCACCAGATCAAAATGGTCAAAAAGATATCAGAGCTTCTGGATTCTCCACAAACATCCACTCTCTTTGATGAAGTTTCCCCACCAATGGTCTTTCACAATTGAAAATCTCTCATCTATTGCGGCTACAAAGGCCAGAAATCATAGGCAGAAAGCAAGATCATTATCTAGTTTAAAGACAACCCTATGCCTGTAAAAACTGAAAGGAAGCCCTATATGAAAATATATATAATGCTGGAAGTAGCCCCCAATTGTAGCATTTGGAAATAGCCCTGCTATCTCCCTATTGTTTAATCAAAATGACCTCCTGCTTCCCAGTTTCTCATGTCTGGGACTCACATTGCTCTCCACTACCTGAGTCCCATCCCCAAAGACTCTGATTTAATTGGATTGGGGTTAGTATTTTTAAGCATTCCAAGTGATTCTATGCAGCCATATTTGAAAGTCACTGTCTCTTCTCTTAACTTGTCCACTGCTCTTTCCCTAAAAGTAAAAAAAGAATGATGGCTTCCAGCTTCATCCATGTCCCTACAAAGGACATGAACTCATCCTTTTTTATGGCTGCATAGTATTCCATGGTGTATATGTACCACATTTTCTTAATCCAGTCTATCACTGATGGACATTTGGGTTGGTTCCAAGTCTTTGCTATTGTGAATAGTGCCGCAATAAACATACGTGTGCATGTGCCAAACACCGCATGTTCTCACTCATAGGTGTGAATTGAACAATGAGAACACTTGGACACAGGAAGGGGAACATCACACACCGGGGCCTGTCATGGGGTGGGGGGAGGGGGAGGGGGAGGGATAGCATTAGGAGACATACCTAATGTAAATGACGAGTTAAAGGGTGCAGCACACCAACATGGCCGATGTATACATATGTAACAAAACTGCACGTTGTGCACAGGTACCCTAGAACTTAAAGTATAATAAATAAATAAATAATAAAAAATTAAAAAAGAACTAGATCTGAGAGCTCATTAGGCTTTCCTTATCTAAATTCTACAGGTTATTCAATTAAGTAGCTAGTGAAATACTTTGTTGCAGGCCCAAGTCATTTGGATATTAAAACAAAATTGAGGATAAGTGAACGAGACTTGGTCTCAAGTATTGTACAAAAAAAAAAAATTAGAAAGTTGTAGCTAGCTTTCCTTGCCCTAAAAATATGCTGGTGAGCTTGGGCATATTTACTGTCACAATACATTGTTTAGGAAATGAAAATCTGAATCTAGCACCATCTATTCACTGGTAAATGATAAGGTATAATTAGCTTGTGATGTCAGGCAATGAAGTAATGACGTATCCCTAAGTCATTCATTCAACCAAGACATTTGGATCTCCCTAAACAAAACTAAAATCATAACGTAATAGAAAATCACAATGCAGATAACTTGAGGAAGAAAATGAAAGATGAAGGGATGACCAGCCCCTGTCATAAAAAGAAGCTTTCTCATTTTAAATTGCAGCAAAATTCCTCTTTACTAAGAGTTGTATGAAATCATTTCTTTAAGTTAAAGTGTCTTTTTTCCAAAATCTTATTACGTTTTATGAGCTTTGGAATGCCCAGGCAATGTAGTGTTCTACTTTTATTTCTGGATTTAAAAAAATAAGGCAGTGGAGCATTCATTCAGATTAAGTTCTTCGACTTTATTGTAAAGCAGATCAAGGTTTGGATCCTGGCTCTGTACTTAAAGCTGAGAGGCCTGGAGCAAAGAACAAACATGTCTCCAGAGCGCTCATCTCTAAGCTAAGACAATAATATCATCCACCTCATAGAGATGTGAGGATTAACTGCAGTGACGCATGAACACTCAACAACCTTGACTGGCGTTATTACTTATTGTTGCTGTTATAAATTATCTCCATTTTACAGATGATGACATTCAGGCACAGAGAAGTAAATAGCTGGCCAATGCCCACACAGCTAGGTAGTGATAGAACCAAGCCATCTAATTTAAAATATGCTTTGAAAAATGTTAACTAGAGTAATGCCCTCATGGAACAACCTGTAAACATCCACACCAAAAAAAAATATGCATCTGGAACAAATATTGTGCTCTAAGGGATTAAAACTGAAAAACCTAAATAATGTGGTTCCAGAGTCTACATTCTTAATACCCTCTTAGCATTTTTAATATTCTATAATTTCTAGAGTTTCTAATAAGAAATTCTGTGTGTGTTAAGTTTACACAGCTTTTTGCAGCTGATAAAAGCTTATACATATGTCATCTTATGTTAGCATTGCTGGTCTGGAAGAAGCCAAACAGAGGTAGTTATTGTTCCTCTCTTACGCTTGAGGACACTGAGGCTCAGAGGGTTAATGCCCTGCAGAAGGATACCATACTGATGAGTAGCAAACTTGAGACTCAAACCCCTACATCCTGACGTCCCAGCCAGCATTATCCGCCAGAAAACATGTTTACGGTACCCAAAATATACTGAAGTTTTGAGATGATCACGCCTAAGAAAAAAAACAAGTCCCTATCTTCAAGGCAGGGAGGGCTCAAAACACCACAGAGAGCATTTTCCTCTTAGGAAAGTTATTAGTAATTAACAAGCTTCATAATGACATGTTATGACATGGTTAGGTAAATTACTCCAGAAGCAGTAGAAGGAAACAAATGTCACATTCTACAAGTCCTGGCCAATGCCAAGGATTCACTTGGAAGGTTAACTAAGATGGAGCTCATTATGCTGTATTAGGTATCAGAGTATTTTGTCTTCTTGAAGATAAAACCTTGGTGACTGATATTACCATAACTTGAGGGCAGGAAGAGAGATCTGATATACAGACCATGAGGCACTTTGAAAACCCTAGACATATAATGCTCTTTACCTTGACATTTCCCATCCTCTAATGATCCATCTACCCAGTATTTTTAGGTCAAAAAAATATATATGATACAATGCTGCTTCATGGGTCAAACCACGGTCTCTGCTGGTATTTTAATACTGCATCATTATCAACAGAATACGTAAATCACTCGCATCTTAAGCATTTAGGCAAATGGGGAATTTTGCTTAGAATTTCAGACTGTGCCCAAAAGTAAAGATGTTCAATGCACTGATTTCTGTGCCAAGCCTAGTGGCTGGAACATTGGCTTGGATGCATACACATAGCTCAGCAAGATGGTTGGCAAAGACAGTTGGAAGAGAAGGCAGCGCTTTTTATTCTTATTTCTGTTTCATGAACAAGAAAATCACATGCCAGCCTGAAAGACAAGCCACTTCTGTGAGTTTATGTCAATTTGGGGGTAGCACTATCTTCTACTGGATAAAAATTGAACCTAGCAGAAAGACACACCTTTGGAAACCATGGAGACTTCAGTTTGGGCATTTTAATCAGATCTTTGCTCTCAGACAGTGGTGCTCTTGTAAGTGGCAAGAAGCTGGAGGAATGAGATCCTTTAAAGAGAACTTGTTCTTGAACTGTGATGGGAAAGTTTGCTCTAACTGCACAAAGGATAAAATACGCAAAAACTGTGAGCATGGAAGGAGTAATTTGCCCATCTGCAGACCCAAGGCTTGTATTTCTATAAAGTGTTTATGGGCTATGTAAATACATCCTACATCTTACTCAGTTATTGCAATCAGCATTTCCCTAACAACAGACAAATGTGATAGGCAGACTTTCCAGGAAAACATCAGGCTGACACAGTGGCTCACTCCTGTAATCCCAGCACTTTGGGAGGCTGAGGCTTGCAGATCATTTGAGCGCACAAGTTCGAGACCAGCCTGGGCACCATGGTGAAACCCTGTCTCAGCTACTCCAGAGGCTGAGGCAAGAGAATCGCTTGAACCCAGGAGGCGGAGGTTGCAGTGAGCCAAGATCACGCCATTGCACTCCAGCCTGGGCGGCAAGAGCGAAACTCCATCTCAAAAAAAAAAAAAAAAAAAATAGGAAAACAAAATATCTGGAGAAGAGACAGGCTTAGGATTCAGTATTCCAAGCTCACAAAACCAGTTTGTAGTCATGGATATCTTTGTCCCTGTTAATAAATCATTTTCAGGGGTATATGTATGTCTGTCAAATGTCGGTGTTCAATATTTTCAGGAAATTGAGTGTTTATAGGATTTAATTCATCATGCCTTACATATGCTAGGTACTTGATAACTATTCATTAATTCAATTTGATTGATCTAACTTAAAATATACTTTGAAAAATGTTAATAGAGTAATGCCCTCATGGAACAACCAGTAAACATCCACACCAAAAAAGTACGCATTTGAAACAAATATTGTGCTCTAAGGAATTAAAATTGCAAAGTAAATTAATCCCTTAAAGATTTATATGAATAATTTTAATTCCTTGAATGGTACCTTTTCAAATCCAATCTAAAATGTCCAATATGTTTGCAATCTGATATAATCCAATGAGTTTTAATAAGCAAAATAGTTCTTGCCAGTAGAACCAAAACCCAGTTATTCCATTTTTGTAACCTTCTGTGTAAAGGAATGGGCTGAACTAATTTTTTCTGAATTTTTTATATTTAATCAACAACATCATTGCCAAAGAAAACCACTTTTCAGAAGTCTCTCTATCCTGGTTTATAACTTATAATCAAAAACTGGAATTTTGCATCTGATGGGCTTTAGTGTGTAACACTATACTGTCATATTTTTTATGCTATAGTTAAAAGTAAAAGATAGTTTCCATTATAAAAATTTTCCCATAGTCTGATTACCCAGTGAAAAACATTTTTCTATAAAAATGGTCTTCATAATTCATAAGCTAGAAATTATTGTGGGTAATTTTTTAAAGAACATCAAAAAAGTTTTGGTGGGTCTAGTAGCATCAGTTGGCTTTAGGTACATGTACAGGATAAGGCAGTATGATAATAATGTCCCACACAAACAAGGAAATCACTTAACAACAACAAAAAAGCCTTGAGGCCTGAAACTCTGACAACTTACTTATCCTTACCCAGTTTGGGCTACATGGATTGATTTCAGCTACAGCCTGTTCCAAGCAGCAGGAAGAAATAGAAATGGGGCATAATATAAGACCTGGAATAATCCTGTAAGCTTGAAATAGCACAGATATATCACAGTGGATTTTAGAAAGATATACCTTAGCTCTGGTTTTAGACCCTTGATCCTCCAGAAGCCAAAGATGCTTGGAAATCTGATCTGCCCTGACAGTGAAGCAACCCTCTATGACCTTCCCAAAACCCTGCTGTGACCGTGTCTCAGAGGCCAGCACACTTCACCCTGAACTGTGAGCTTCCTTTAATTGCAGACTTTACTTTCATATTCCTTTGGGTCCTGGTTTGGGGAACTTCTCTGTCTGTTTTGTTCTGAAAACTGGACACTACCCAAATGTCATCCACAGGGAATTGGTTCAATGAAATGTGTTAGATCTAAACAATAGAGGATCTTCTGCCTTTAAAAAGAATGGTTTAGATTGATACATACAGACAAAAATCCAAGGTATATTAAGTTTAAAAAAAGAAAAAGCCCTTTATTTCTTTCTCTTGTCTGATTGCTCTGACTAGGACTTCCAGTACTGTGTTGAAGAGGAGTGGTGAGAGTGGGCATCATTGTCTTGTTCCAGTTTGCAGACGGAATGCTTTCAACTTTTCCCCACTCAGTGTTATGTTGGCCATGGGTTTGTCACAATAAAATAATGCTTTTAGTACATTGAGGTATGTCCCTTAAATGCCAATTTTGCTGAAAGTTTTAATCCTAAAGGGATGCTGGATTTTGTCAAATGCCTTTTCTGCATCTATTGAGATGATCATGTGATTTTTGTTTTTAATTCTGTTTATGTAGTGTATCATATTTATTGACTTGTGTATATTAAACCATCCCTGCAAGTGATATGAAACCCACTTGATCATGGTGGATTATCTTTTTGATAAGTTGTTGAATTTGGTTAGCTACTATGTTGTTAAGGATTTTAGCATCTATGTTCATCAGGATATTGGTCTGTAGTTTTCTTTTTTGGTTACGGCATTTGCAGCGACCTGGATGAGATTGGAGACTATTATTCTAAGTGAAGTAACTCAGGAATGGAAAACCAAACATTGATGTTCTCGCTGATATATGGGAGCTAAGCTATGGGGATGCAAAGGCATAAGAATGATACAATGGACTTGGGGGGAAGGGTGGAGAGAGGATGAGGGATAAGACTACAAATATGGTGCGGTGTATACTGCTCAGATGATGGGTGCACCAAAATCTCACAAATCACCACTAAAAAATTTACTCATGTAACCAAATATCACTAGTACCCCAGTAACCTACGAAGAAGAAAAAAAAGAAAAGGCAATTTGCTGTAAAAAGTTGTAAATCTATATGTATGTATGTGCTAATATATGCATGGGGGAAAAAATCTGCTGGAAGCTACACTAAAGGATGAATGGTGGTCATCTGCAGGCAATTTATGACAAAAAAGAAAGAAAATAACTTTCATTTTTATTTTATACATTCTTTTCATTTAAAAATTATTGTGTATAAATTTTGTAACAAGAAAAATATTGTGTATAAGACAATGAAAAAAGATTGATAAAAACTTTAAGATGTTTTATAATAAACATGCTAAGGTGAATCAAGTCTGAAAAAATGGTTGAACCCCCATTCAACCATTTAGAAATTTAGAAATCCATGAGCTGCTAAAATTGTATGAAAATGTTTCTTGCATGTGTATTTTCTGGAAAGAAGCTCCATACTTTCTATGAGATTCTCACAGGAGTCTGGGACCCAAAAGAAGGTCATGAACTATGACCCTAGCCAAAACTAAGATAGCTATTCCATCCCTCCATTCGTTTTTATTATCATTTTATCATGAAACATTTTATTACTAATTTCATAGTTCCCACCAAAGGTAAAGTCTATGCTAAGCATAAAAGCTGTGGGTCTTAGTCTTACCCTCACTTAGAGGAGTTCCCATTGACTTAGGAGCAGTCCTAAGTGCACAAGAAACCATATATGGCTGTTCTCGGTAAAAGAAAACTCCTAACAGGCACTAAAAGCCTGTAATCATTCAGGACTTGAGGATAGTTGTCCAAGACACAGACAGTCCTATTTTCTCTATAGAGATGGTTGATTTGTGAAATGACAGATGGGGGTTAGAGGAGTGGGGAGGGGCAGAGAAGAAGAAGTCATGTTTGCACTTGAATTAAGGGAACAGAGTTGAGTGAGTTGGGTTAATTTAATCAGTAAAACAAGATTCAATACATTATCTATCAACCTTAAATTGTTTGAAAGAAATCTTTAATCATAAAAGTGCATTTAAATATACAGCAAAATGCTTGACACCATGCTCTATATTAATAGAGCATAAATATTAGGCAGCAAAACTGCCTACATTGGTGTTAGGATTTAGGTAAAAACTTGGCTTCTGATGACTTGTAAACTGAATATTCCCAAATCCCTAGGAATTACATGAGTCCACAGAATGTTTTACCATTTCTACCTTGACTCCTTTGACATTCTCCAGAATCAGGTCTAGTACAGAGTTTAAGATCAATAACAATTTGTGATTTAAGTGAGGGGTCATGGGCAATACCTGCACTGGCAAAATGAGGGACATTATTGGTGAAAATTAGGAATAATACTCCACTTTCCAGGTGGTTTATCACTGTCAAAATAGGTCAATTGTGGATTTAGTATGCACTTGAAATGTCAGATATCCCAGAATTCTGGTGCCGACATTACTTAACTGCACAGGTTTTACAGCCAAAGAAATTGAAGGGGTTCACATAATCCACCAAAGCCCATTGCTAACCACCATCACCTAATCATATTGATATCTGCCATATGCAAAGCATAGTATTAGGCCCTATACAAAACAGAAATGGGCTCTCCAGGAGTTTTACAGTTTACCTAGAAAAATAAGATATATACCATGAAGACAAGCAATTTATAATAAAATGCCAAAATGATGATAAAGACAATTCCATACTATTGGAATGAAATAACATAGAAGTCATATCTCCAGGAGAGATCATGAAGAAGCAGGAGTTCAAATGAAATCTTAGAGGAGTTAGATTTTGACAGTCAGTGTACAGTATGGGTAGATTTACAAACTATGGCAACATTATGGCCAAAATTTGGATGGTAGAAACACAAGAGTAGGCTGATAAGAGACTGAGAGGTACAGAATGAGTAAACAAGGTAGGCTGAATGGACCAGTCTTGAATAAGACAAGCCTGAAAAGTCAATAAAATAATGTATTGAACTCTTATTCTATTTAAGGCACTCTAAATGCATTAGTTTGATCAAATCCTCACATGAGGTAAGTACCTCTAGTCCACAAGTAAGGAAACTGAGGCACAAAAAGGTTACATGGCTTGCCTTCATTTCAACCAGCTAGTAAATGGTGGAGCCAGGATTCAAACCCAGGCAAATCTCACTCCCGACCTGTACTCAGGAGTCACCACATTCTTCTGGCACAAAAGTAGAGCCCCTCAACAGCCAAGCTAAGGAATTTGAGATTCAGCATCAGGTATAAAGATTGAGAATGAGGTGATAACTCATTGATAATGCTTATATGCATGGTTCATCACTACTCAGAATCTTCCTCTAAAAGAATTGCATTATCCGATGATATTCCCAACAATATTCACTGATAGTGATATGTATTCACTGACAAGTCCCATGACTACAGTATTGAGTTAGATATTATAAAGTGCTCAGTCAAATCTTTATCAGGAGAGTCCATTGTGTTGACATTCCATCACCACAATTTTTAATCCTAAAGACTTAATTTTACCTGTTATTCACCTAACACTTCTGCTAGAAATACAACTCATGATAATAAACAGAGCAAAGTATGTTTATTTTCACATGTTACCCGAACATATATGACCTTCCTACATGGAAAGCCACTCTGCTCAAATAAGACGTTCATCCCTTAAAAACTTATTTCTCCATCCTAGGTTCAGGTCTTAAAAATCAGTTGGGTTCCTCAGTTACAGATGTACAGGACATTACATCTGGACTCTCCTAGGAGGGCAGGGGTGAACTCTTCCTCTGAATATCCACAGTAGCCAAATGACTCCTTCTCCCACTGTGGAAAACCACAGATGACTGTCTCCTAATGATTTACTGCCCAACCCCCAGCCCACAAATCAAAGAATTGGGTTTAGTGAGAAATAAGAAAGAATGGTGGCCAGTGGATACAAGAAGGGGAGGGAATGCTTCAGTTTATTTTCTTAAGCCAATTAATGATGAAACGGCATGGAGGGAAAGAAAGACACAACATAGTTGTAAAAGACTATTTTTCCAGATAAATGGCCAGATATCAGATTCTGTAATAAGTACTTCCACCTATCAAAACACACACACACACACACACACACACACATATTAACTTGAGGTGGGGAAGAAGATATAGATCTTAAAAACACAAGGTAATATTCAAAAACCATTCTGGATATCACCATAAAATGAAACTTTGAAGCACCCTTGGAAATCAATGAATCTGGACATTGCAAACCCTACAAACTATATATTGCAGGCAGAGGTGTTTGGTTGGGCCTGCAGAATTTTTTAAAATTGAATCAACATTTCATAAAGTAGAGAAAACTTACATAAAAACCCAGATTTGTGGCTTCTCTTAAAAAGTGGAAGACCTGGCGGCCCTGAACCCCCTTGCCCAAATGGTAACAGTGAGCAGGAGCTGAGAAGAAGCTGCCACCTTTAGAGGAGTCTTGAACTGCCAGTTTCCCACCATCCCCGCCACTCCCTCTTGTTCTGAAATACAAAGGCTGGGTGTCAAAAAATTAAATAAAAATAGGAGAGAGCTTAAGGCTTATACCCACCTTGCTTCACTCATTTATGGTACCTGCAAATTTACAGGCTCTGCTCTAGTCTAATCCATTCATTTAAAGAGGAGCAACCCAGCTGCAGTAGTAAAGTGACTTACAAACTCAATCCACTAAAAGTCAAATTTTCATTCAGGAGGGATTATTGCCTAATGATAACTAGAGAGTATGCAAAACTAAATTAGGGCTGTGTGGCTATACAATGCCAAAATCTGTGGGGAAAAGTTGAAATCTCAATCATTTTATTTACACATCCCCCTCACCCCGACTCCAAATAAAGGGCAAAGGAAGATGCTCAAGTTTTCAGAACAAATTTACTGCCTAGTTTGGCTTGGTATGGACAGTTTTAATGTGCCCAAATTTTAGATATGACTTCCCTTCATTCTGAGGGCATAATTTATTGAGAAGACATACAAAATGCTTACCGTAGACATGTAAATACTTTTAAAAAGGAAACTGGATAAAAACATTAAACAGGAGGGGAAAAAAAAGGATGTTTCTTCTTCAGAAAATTTAACTGATAAATTATAAGGAAACTGAAACCCACTAAGATTTATTGAGCATGTGCCTTAGGTACTTTGCACACATTATACCAATTAACTCTCACAGCAGCCCAAGGAGGGTAGTATTATTACTCCCACTTCACAAGTAAAGATGCTAGGCCTCAGAGGCATTCAATAACTTGAAGAGGACCTGACTTTTCAATCAGGGATCATGCCCAGATTCAAACACTGATGTGCACGTTTGTAATGCTTGTGAGAGTAGGGAACATGGTTTGCCCGTGCACAGGGCCTAGCACATTGATATTTGTTGTGTAAGCCTGCCCATCGCCAAAGCACAAAAACTGCCATGTACAAGCACTTTCATTCATAAATGTCATCATTTGAACAACCTTGACATATACAACTAATTCATTTAGGCAGGTTCTTGAACAAGGTTTAGGAAATGTTGGTTCTTTATGTTGTGTAGTTAATGACCCCTACACACATGTTTACTAACATAATAAAATCTCTTTTCTAAATAAATTTCTCCTTTAGAATTGTTATAAAAGTCAGTAGTCAAGAATTTGGCTGAATATACAAGCCAAAAGCACGTTTGCTAATGAATAAGAATAATAACTAAAATCAAAATAAGAATTAATTCAAGAATGAGTGCTTTTGAAGAGTCAGGAATTTGATTAAAAATTCAGTTCCCTTTTTTTCCATAATGAAACAGTTCTTTAACCACAAAACAGCTTTTATAATAATGCCGAAGAGTATGGTTCCAAGCAAAACACTCCCCCATTTTAATCATGGCTATTATTTTTGAAAATGAAAATGACTGAGGTCATTGTAATCTATTTTAGGGTTTGCATGGGTTGATGGTATTTTTGTCTTGGCTTTGAGTTCTCCACATTACCCACTAAATGTTATGGGCTTTACCGTGTGCCCTTTCAAATCCCATTCTTTCTAATAACATTGTATTTTATACACATAAATTAGAGTAAATTCCACTTTCTTTCCTAACAACTCCAGATGTGGTCCACACTTTCAAAAGGACTAGAACTTGCCTTAAAAAAAATTCAGTATGTACTTCTTAGAACAACTATGTTTCTATATAGATAAAAATGCTGTATGGATGTTTAAATGCTGAATAATTAGTAAAACCATAGGACTTGTGGTTTTTTCACCAAAGTGAAATATGAAGATAATATCTATATATTTACTCCTTCCAACTTACAAGGACATACACAGATAAAAAATGCCTAGAAACAAAACCATCTGGGCAGAGTTCTAGACCTACTGATACCAATAGGGAAGGGGGATCTGTATTCAGACAACCATTTAGAACACATCAGTGAGGCTCTCTGTCCCCTGTAGACCCAGTAGACAAAATTAACAAATATCTAAATACACTAAAGTTACACAGTCAAGGCTCCCTTTAGACGCAGTTAATATTTCACTTACTTTCTGAACTTAGTTGGGGTTTTTATTAAAATTCGCTATCACGATCCCTCTAGGTAACCCCTACACAGCCACACGTGAGAGAATGGCTTCACAATACATACAAATTGTGGAGATCTGGCTATTAAAATGCCTTGAGATCTGTTTGTTTATTTTTTTAAAATCAACTTGCAAGGCCAATGTAATAAGATGCTGTAGCTTTTATGAAAGAGGTGAAATAATTTTAAACACAGACACACAATGAGTTTATTTATTTAGAAACTTGTTAAATAGAGTCTGGGAATTCAAATATTCAATGTTGACATTGTACAGAATTGGCAAGAAGCCAGAACCCAGTCTCCAGAGGGACCCATTGGACAAGGAATTCAGGACTTTCTCTCCTCCCACTTGAGCTAAATAGGTAGAAGCCATTAGTTATACCCACAGCAATATCTGAACCACACTCAAATAAGCTGCCCCAGCCAGGGCACTTCAAAGGAGGCTAAGTGTGTTTAGCTTTTTAGTGCTGAACTAGAGCAATATGTCACACTTTTGAAAGAGTCTTGTAAACAGTTTCTTCCCTATGTAGAGACATCTCTGAAGTTTCTTGTATGGCTTGTAGTAAGCAAAGGTAATTAACAAGGATTATACTTTTTTCATTTCCTGGAGGGGCTGGGGAGGATAATACCAATCTGTGTGCAAACTAAGGATCTGGAAGAACTACACTATTTCTCCCTTCCTGTCTCCCTCTCTGGTTTTCTGATCGATTTGTCTGTCTCCTCTTTATCCTCTTCCTTACACTTGTTCTCACTATACAGCCAATTTCCTTGAAAATTCCCTGGTAAACTCTGAAGGCCAGAAGAGTGGGAAGGGGGAAATCTAATTTTAGAAAGAAGACCGTGGCTAGTGGAGTGGGGAAGTCGGGAGGGAACTAATGATTTATCCTGCGCCGTCCAGGAGAAAAGAAAAGCAGACCCCACAGACCGTTTTAGAAAATGCCTAGACAGCGGCTTCCAGCGGAAGAAGGGTTAACCGTCACTCCAAAAAAATGTACCTGGCATCATCAGAGTGTAACTTTTCCCTCCCACCCCATCTCTTCCCCAAACTCACTCTCCCTTGCCCTATGAGGCTAGGAAGGAGCCTGTCCCAACAGGGAGAGTGAATGAGTGAGTGTGTGCCTGCCCTCCGCGCAAGAGTGCTCCTTGTCTTCCTGAAGCCAAGACGTGTGTGGGTGTGCACACGCATGTGTGGGTGTGAGTTTACACTGTCAATGTAAACCCAGCTCCGAGGGAAGCAGCGCGCCAGGCACGCAGCCCCTCTGAGACTAGAGAGGGAAAGAAGAGTTCTGGCCAAACCTTGGAGCCCTGAGCTGAGCAGCCTGAGGAGCGAGGTGTAGGGGGCCCCCTGAGTGAGAAACTGCCTCCCACCTCACTGGGGCTTCCCCAGTCCCACCCCCACGTCCATCTTGGGCCACTTCCTCAGCACCAGACGGTTTTGAGATGAAGCGTGGGAGGGCTCAGCTCTTGGGAACAGGGCTCTGGGTGCCTTGGGAACAGGGAAAAAGCCGGTGACCAGGAGATGACAAGTCAAGGTTCTCCATCTCACCGCCCGCTTCCAGCGGAGGCAACGCGCAGGGGGGTGCCGGGAGAGAGGGGGCCGAGCCGGGCGTGCCGGGGGCAACTCCGCTCTCTTGTCCTTCTAGCCCGGGGAGGAGGGCGTCCCCCCTTCCTGCCCCAGGTCACAACTGCAGCCTCGGATAACCTGGCCCCAACTTACAAAAATAAAATAAACTCCCAAACAGTAACATGCTTAAAGAGAAATTGCTTACGACTCCTCACCTTCAACTCCAAAAAAAAAAAAAAAAAAAGAAAGAGAAAGAAAGAAAGAAACCAAAATTCGTGGAATGACATGTTAATTTCTAGTCCTACATGTTGAATGTCTGTCCCTGCAGGAAGCCGGCCCCAGGGCCCAGGGGAGGCCTTGGCTCAGAAAGCCTGGGAGCTGGGCTAGCCGGCAAAAGTCACACTCACTCACATTCACACACACACTCACATGCACTCTATAGCCAAGACCTGCAACTCTGCAGTCCCTACAAATAAAAAAAGAAGCCTTGCTTTTTAGCCTTTCTGCCTCTACAGCTAATGAACCGTTCCCTTCCACAGTGCTGGAGATGAGGGAAGAATGAAAAGCGTAATTAACCTTCCCCTAAACACAGATTTTTTTTTTTTTTTTTTTTTTTTTTTTTTTTTGCAAAACACATCAAAATACTGCAAGAAGACTGTGCTCCAAGTGCCAAATGCAATAAAGAAGCCCTAAGCCCGGGTAATGGTCAAGTAATAGCAAATAAACCGCCTTCCTAGAAGGGGCCTCGGCCTCCGTTGGGAGAAGGATTTTCCTCCTCAGAAGCAATCTGAAATAAACAAATAAAAGTATTTTTTAAAACAAAGCTCTGTTTTCATCTGAGTTTCTTAAGGATGAAGGAAAACCCAAGTAGGTGGGCATACAGAGAGTAAATGCCTGAATCTGGGTGTTGTGTTTGTTGTTGTGGGGGGGTTGTTTTGTTGTGTTTATCTCAGTTACTGGGCTGACAAGGTGAGTAGTTTAAGGACGGGAGAAAGGGTCGGCATCTACCTTTCCTACTTCAGAGCCTTTTTTTAAACAGAGAGCAAGTGTAGGAGTAACAAGTGCCCCCCTTGCCGCGGTCTTGCTAATCGCATCGCCTTTTGAGACTTTACGAGACTTCTGGGGGGCCGGTAGCTAAGGGAGTTACTGGATGCAACTCGTTCTCTGCTGTGACTGAATTCCCGCGCGTTGTCACTTTGGGGAAGTAAGGTAAGGGTGGCTTCGGTATTTCAGGCTTTAGACATGCTGCGCAGACCCAACCTGCACTTCCTTTCCATCCATCAGGACCATAGCAACTGGCATTTCTGGCACGGCCCAGGTGCTGTCCTAGCTGCCCAAGAAAACGGCTGGGAAGTCTCCCCGCGCTGCCAGAGTCGGTTTGGCTTTTGGTTTTCTTTTCTTAAAGATGGAAATAAAATTCAGGGGCGTTAGGCACTACAAATGTCAATCTTCCTGCCTTTCATTTTATTTTTAATTAAATTTTTTAACCTTCCCAAATGATTTACAACGAATTTATCGGTTTCAACTACTGTATAAAATACAAGCCTTACAAGTTGCAAACTGTGTTGTGCATTCAATCTCGGTGTAGATTCAGTGGGTATTTTCAGGGTCCGTGGTCTCTGGTCTAGGTCCATGGGCTCCTGTACTGTAGTCAAGGCCAAATCAGGACTTAAGACCACCAAAGAAATTTACAAAAGACAAAAAGAACAACAAGCTACCGAGAAAACAACTATTTATATGTAATTTGTTTCCATTGTAATGTTTTCTCTTGCCACAATAAAGGTAGTTTTGTTTTTTAAAGTATTGTAGTCACAACTCCCCTTCTAAACCCAGAAAAAGAAAAACTGGTGCAGAGCAGTGAAGTTTTCGTTGGATGATTGCACCGCAGGGGTCACCAACCATCTCCGCCACGCGCTACTCGGGGGAAGGAAATCGCGCTTTAAAATACAAAAATCTGTAGTTTTAATATGATTTCCTTTATTACCCAGATTGTAACTGAAGAATTGCAACGCAGCGCTTCTGTCTGGGAAAGGCAGCTGCGGCAGCAACAGCTGGAGTAGTGCAAGCGGGAATCTGAGGCTCAGTAAAAGTTTGTAAGAGTTGAGATCTAGCTATCAGAAAGCGGCAGCGGCATCCTTAGAGACCCTGGGGACAAAATAAATGGGTCTCCCACCAGTTGAATGACAAGTATCATCAGATCGGAAACGAGGCTCAGTTTCTGGATGCTGAGTGGACTGTGCGTGCGGGAATATTTTAAGACGGCATCGTATGTCTTGCTTGGCAATTAAAATAGTTGAAAAAGTTGCTCAAGAAAATTCGAAGGGTTTTGTGTTCTGCTTTCACTTCAGAAGTTATCGGGCAGTGAGTTGCGGCGCGAAGCCTTAAGCTTTCACTTCACAACTTAGGCATGGTTGAAAAGGGCTACCCACCCCCACCCACCATCCCACTCCCGCCAACTCCCCCCCCCACACACACACTCTCTCTCTCTCCCAACCTTTAGTCCAAATCGAAGCCCGCAAACCTCAAGTATATGTACATTTATTTCCCTTCAGATGAAAATAAAGACATCGGCCTCATTTAAAAGCAAACAGGGAAAACAGTTCCACCGGCGCCCTTTGACACTGTAGCAGCGAGTGTAAAGAACAACACCCAAAAGAGAAACAGATGGACTGATGACCCAAAGAGCCCTATATTTAGGTTGATTTCTCAGACCCAGGGGAAAGGAAATGTATCGGGGAGTGTACGAGTGCTTGGGTGAGGACTGCACAAAGCACTGGAAAGGCGCCTGGGATGACAGCATCTCGCGGGGCTACACCGCCGACTCCAATGCCCGCGAAGCCGAGCCTGCTGAGGTGCCGCCGACTTCCCGGGCTGCTGCAGGGACGCAGTGAGCAAGGAGGCGTGGATACGATACCTACCGTATTTGGTTCTAATGTGCGAGGGTCGCGCGGGGGGAGACTGGGATTTCACTGGGGAGAAGCATCCCACCCATCTCCGATCTCTCATTTCTGCGTTCCGTAAACAACACAATTAGAGAGTTTTGTTTTCGGCGAGTGCGAGTGTGGGAGAGAGAACCGCGGCCTGTCCACTCCCGAGGCAGCTCCAGCCCCGCCTATTGACACCTCAAGGAAGAGCGCTCCCAGCCGCTCCGGGGCTCAGTGTCCCTGAGTCCCCTTCAACTCGAAGTAGAAGCATTTGGACAAACGCAGTCCTGTCGTCTACAGTCCTGGCGGAGCATCACACCGTGTGGGAAAGTGTGGGCCCCGCCGGCAAAGCCAGGCGAGTCATCCAACACTTTTGCTGTAAGAGTGGGGGATGGGACTCCCACCGCCCCCTCCCCAAACCCCTTAGCCCACATCCCGCCAGACCAAGGCCGCTCCGCGCCGGGCAGGCAGGGGGCGCCGGGGAGGGTTATTGACCCTGGACCCAGGCTGCACCCAGACGAAGCGCCGGAGGCTGCGCTGCGCCCTCTCCGCGGCCCAACGCTCTGGCAGCCCGCCCCCTGGGGTTTGCTCGGCGCCCAGCAAGCCCGAGGTGCGCGGGTCGCAGCGCGCCCTCTCTGCCTCCTGCTCCTAGGCTGCCGCCGCTGGCTGTGTGCCCTCCACTCCCGGCTCTCCGAGCGCTCGCTGGGCCTCTTCTCTCCCCACGTCCGAGCGCTCGCTGGGCCTCTTTCCTCCCCACCTGCGCGTGGCTGTGCGGAGCCGGTAGCTCTGCTCTGCCCGTGCCCCCGCCCCCACCCCGCGATCACAGCCCCCACCTTGGTGTCCCCTACTCCCCGCCGCAGTCCTCCCGCCGCGCAGCGCCGCGCCGGAGAGCATGGCCGAGCGCACAGCGCCCACTACCGCAGCCGCGGCTCGGCGCAGTCCACCCGCCCGCCCGCG
The DNA here is from genome assembly GCF_000001405.40 of Homo sapiens. Lineage (NCBI taxonomy): Eukaryota > Metazoa > Chordata > Mammalia > Primates > Hominidae > Homo > Homo sapiens. The sequence continues at coordinate 169,662,729 of NC_000003.12, forward strand.
CAACTTCCAGCGGCCGCCTCGCAACTTTTCCCAAGTCCACCACAGCCGCCCGCCGCCGCCGCCACTGTGGCTCCCTCTGAGCCGCCTACCCTACCCAAACCCCAGAAACAAACCGAGGCTCGAAAAGGCTCCCTTCTCCTGCCGGCCCCCCATCCCCCGCGCCCCCCTCCTCCCACACCCGGGACTAGCTGGTTGGCCAGAGGCAACTCTCCCCCGCCTGGGGGGAAGGGGAGGGGAGGGGGAGACTTTCTCCTCTTCTCTTCCCCCCCACCCCACCCCTTCGCGCTCACTCTCGCGCTCTCTCCTCCCTCCCACCCCTAGTCTTTGCTGCCCCCACCCCCACCCCCACCCCGGGGTTGCCACAGCTGGTCGGTGCGCGGGACTGAGGGCTGCCCAGGCTCCTCCGGCGCCCAACCCGGGAGCGAGAGCGCGGGCGACCGGGAGCAGAGACTGGAACCGGCAGGTTGCTGGGGCTGCGCTCCGCCTGCCCTCCACCCGGGGCCCCGGCGCAAGAGGCAGCCCGCGCTCCCTCCCGGAGCGCTAGAGACAGATATGCAAGATGGCAGAGGAGGGGGAAAAGCCAATAGAAAAGGGATATTGCACCTACTTGTGGCCAGTTTCCTTGCCCTGCCTTTGGATCTCATGCTGTGCCCAGTCCTGCAGCCGCTGGTGTGTGGTTGGGGCTTTTTTTTCTTGGATCCTTTCCTTCTTTTGCTCTCCCTCTCGCTCCCTCCCTCTCTCTCCTGTCTCTCTCTCTCTCTCTCTCTCTCTCTCTCTCTCTCTCTCTCTCTCTCTCTCTCTCCCTCCCTCCTGTTTCTCTCCTGTTTCTCTCTCTCTTCCACACACTCACTCTCTGTATTTTCTTCTTTCACTCTCTCTCCCTCCCTCTCTCCCTTTCTCTCAATCCACACTCGCTATCTCTCCAGCATTGTCAGTTTGGACACCTTCGCACATGCGCGCTAGACGCCCCTCCAACATCTCAGCGCCGCCAAAAAAAGTTTGGAGCGATTTATCACTTTGATTTGGAGATCTTGTCAGATGGCAATCGCCGAGGAGGCGGAGAAAGGGAGCCGCGGGGAGGGCGGCGGGGGGCGGGGAGCGAACGCAGGGAGCCAGAGGGGAGCAGACACCTCGCCCAAAAAAAGGGGAGGGGGGAATTGAAAAGGCTTGGGCAGAGGATTGATTCCATGTTAGAATCGCCAACAAGCTTGTATCATGATTATTGTTATTGTTTTTCCCACCATAAATTGCAGACATTTTTCTATACCATCTACGAGGGAAGCAAGAAGCCAGGGGGGAAAAAAACTTTAAAAACATTTTTTAAAAACCCTTCTCCTGTTAAAGAACTAGAAGGGCTGGACCCTCGGCTAATAATCCAGGAGAAAGTGAGAATCATCCTGAACTTGAGAAATCTACTGCTGCCGCTGCTACTGCTACTGAAGCTATTGCAGCTTCCGCTTTCAGGGTTGTAAGCAGAATAAATAACTGGTTTTTTCCTCGATTTTAGCTGTAATACCAATGCTTGCTGCCATCCTTGGGACATTTCAGTATTCTTTCCCTACCAAGTAGTAATGATCACCCTTGATTCCCGGGTCCGGGCCGGCGCTGGCATTTGACATCCAAAGACCTCCTGCTTTCTCAGAGGTCGGCTGTCACCTTCCGGCCTCCCCCACTGCTGCCCCGGTCGCCTCCCGATGCAGCTCTGCTTGCCTGCCATTTTCACTCACTCGCTTAAACCTACAACCTCGGGGTCAAAAGAAAGAGGAGTAGGGAGGAAAATCACACACTCTTAAAAAAATACATTGTTGAAATTTCCTTTAATTACAGGATTTACCAATGAAGTGCCACTCAGAAATGGGAATTCCTAAAGGGGCTAGCTGTGTACAAGGTATGAATCAATCCCAACTAGGTATAGATTTTCTTTTGGTACAACCTTCTTGCATTAAACAGTTTTGTTCAATACCTTCCATGTGCTATTTATGTCCCCATTAATATCTGTTGCAAATCCTGCCAGACACCATAAAAGAAAATTACAATCTTTTCAGTCTCCGTGCTGCAACAATACATCCTTGATGTTCAAGTTAAAGGAAAAGAAAAGCAGGTCCTGGGCATGAGTTTGGCAAAGGCTGTGGAGGGAAAGGGGAATCATTGAGAATGCCCAGTCGTACCTGTTGGTATTTATTATCAAATCTAGGACTGCAGACATGAGAGAGCAAATAACAAGGTTCAACCCCAAAGGGTATCAATGGCCTGCAAATCTCTTTATTCAAGAGAATCAAAGTTCAAAGAATTTGTCCTTGTTAAGGATGCCTACCATTTTCCTTTATCCAGAGCTGTGTAATTCTGGGGGCATTTGGCTGTAAGATAGAGGTCCCTGGAGAACCAAGCTACAGGTCTCAAGGGAGACAGATGTATAAGGTTGAAATGTGAGGAAGGGAAGTAGGAAGGTAAAGGAGGGAATTACTCACAACAGGAGTAAAACAACTTCCAAAAGAGAAGGCTCTAGTGCCCACACGCGTGGGCACAAGAGAACTCTATTATCCACTCTGAATTAAAGAGGCACCTGGGTTTTTTTCCAGACCTAGAATTCCCGCTGTCCTGTGCATAAAGGTGAGTGTGCTAACACATTTGGTGTGTGCAAAAGCACCAGCCATTCCAACATTCTGTTAGGTTCACACAGGTCTTTGACTCTGAAACTTCCCCCAAAATGTGACTCCACCAGCTTCCCTCAGTTTAGATGGAGAGGTGCCTACCCTCTGACCAGCAAATGTCCTCCGAGGAAACGGAGAAATGGGTCTTGAGAGGCTTTGGAAGGGGGGACAAAATCTCTAGGGAGAGACAAACACTAGGCTGACTGGCAAGAAGTTCATAAGGCTGCTTCTGATCGGTGTAAGAGACTCTCTAGGGACCATCCCCTAGGCCAGGGGACAGACCAGCAGCACCTGAAGATCCCAGCTGTCAAAATCTAGGTCTTGTCCCTCCAATCCTCACCTTCCCTGCCAGGCACCCCAGGGGTGGCTGAGCACCTTGCCTTGGTGCCCAACCGCCAAGGTAGCTTAAAAAAAAAAAAGAAAGAGAAGAAAAGAAAAAAGAAAAGAACCGCCATCCTCCCCTCCACTCCTCCGGCTAATCCCTTTCACCTCATCCCCAGGGGGTCTGTCTATGTCTAGGTTCCCTTGGAGACGGGAGGTTAAGAGGGGTGCAAGAAATGTTCCTAGGAAAGGAGGGGACCAAGGTACCAAACTCTGAGATTAAATGCAAGACCCACATGTGAAGCTGAGCTTGCTGTTGCTGCTGAGAAATTATAAACCACGTGGAGGGTTGGGGAGGTAGGGGGTGGGTTCTGTGAGGGGAACTGGGTGGGAGGTGGAAGACTGAAGTGAATCGGAGTCTCCGAACCTCCAAATTTAAAGGTCCCCGTCTTTTAAACTTTTCTAGAAGGGGGGTTGGCGGAGTGGGAGGCGGAATGAGGCGCGGCTGGAGTACCCCTCCCCTTCTGGTTTGAAGTCTCCGCTGTCGCTTCAGCGCTCCAGCTTTCTCCCTGGTCTTTCTAACAGTTTCGGGCCACGAGAAAATCCAACCCCTTCTAACAAATAATAAACGCAAACTCTTCTCTGTCCCCAGACCAAGCCATTGTGAAAAGACAAGACATCGTCTTTTAAATAAATAAAAGTATTCTCAATATCATTCGTTTTTTATTTTCAAACCTAAAAGCTGGGCTTCTTTTCCTTTTCTCTCCTTTTCTTTTTCTTTCTTTATCATTAGCTTTCTGCCCTAAGTGTGCGCTAATAAAGAGCTAAGTTGCTAGTTCAAGTGTGTTTAACCTGATGGAGCAAACACCCAGCAGCAACCGGTCGCGCTCGCGGCTGATAGCGCCGCGACCTCTGCGCGTCCGCCCCGGCCGGTTCCCATTCTCAAGTGCCTGGACCCTGTCACTTCCACCTGTCCCAGTCCCAGCCGTGAGACCAGAGCAGGTGACTGTTCAGCAGCCCCTAGAGTTCCCGACACCCTCTGACGGGATGTCTGAGCTGTCGCTGGCCCAAGAGAAAAGAGGCCTCCAACAAGTTGGCGGAGCTGCCCTAGCTACCCGCCCCCACCCCACCTCTCGCCTTTCCCTCTCCTCCTGAAATTCGTTTTCTTGGGGGACAGTAGCATGCATTCCAACGTTTCCTTGTGTTTTCTCCCACGGAAGCGAGCATCCTGGAAGCAGTGCCTCGTTGGAAAGTCGATGGGTTTACAGACTGTCTGGGTTTGCTTGTTTTATTGCTGTCACTTTTTGTTTCGTGTTTTTGTTTGTTTAGCAGAAGTGAAGAGATTGAGATAGAAGTTAGAAGGAAAATGGGACATTGATGAGAAAGACACAGACAAGTATATCCCTTCCCCAACTATATTTTTTAAATTAATGTTAGAAATGGCAAATAACCGATTTTCAATACATTACATGCAACAGGAAGTTTTCCTTTCCTCTCATTTTAATTGAACCGGCCCCACGGTATCTTTGGAAGAAAGTTTGAATTCTTTATGGAGGTATTTCGAGGCCTATTGTCTTTGTGCAGTGAACTTTACATCATGCTATTCAATCACAACCTATATTCTCCTGGCTACCAGCAAGATTAATTTAATCATTGTAATGCAATTATTAATACTGTTTACCCAATGCTGGGTTTCAGGTTGGCTGTTAAGAAATTAAACTCTCGCTGGGTGACCAGAGCTAGGCAGGGGTTTCTTCATGTTGAAATGAAACAGTCCTCTTTATTTAGTCTCAGGGCTCCAGCTTTCGGCCACCGGCTCAATTAGCCAAAATGGAAACAATTTTCATTCATTGCAATAACTCACTGTTCTGGAGATCGCTTTCAAAATACACACTTTATTATACGCTGACCTCGGTGGCGTGGAGTGGCAATAAAAGAAAGAGGCAGGGAGATCTATCTAGCCCCCTTGGGCTATAATTATTAGAAATTAATTGGGTTCAGGACCCTGGGTAGCCTAGCTAAATTAATAGCTTGTCTAGTGGTTTAAATCCGAATTTTCAGTCCACAGGAGAGAAAGGGAGAGAGTCACAGACATGAAATGCAGACCCAAGGGACGCCTGAGTTTACTTGCAAGACACTCATCTATTAAATAGTGTCCAGAATACATTTGAGTTGAGGAGGGGGGCTGAAGTAGGAGGGAGCAGGGGCGACAAGAAAGAATGGAGCAAGATGGGGAGGGAGGCTGAGAGTGAGCGAAAAGGTCTCGAGTTGATTTTATTCGATTTTTCTTGTCTGCATTGTTTTCGGGAGGGGTTGCATTTAGGGGTTAAAATAAAAAATAAAGATCCTGTGTACTCGGAGCTGTCGTGCCGGAGTAAAAGTGAAAAGGGAGCCTTAGGCAAAAGGAAATTACTGCGAGCCCGCGTGACCTTTCAGGGAGGTAATCAATCAAGTGATCAACAGGGATATTTATCATCGCTATATAGGACTACTTCGCCCTGCACAGGCGGGGTGGGGGTGGGGCTGGGGGAGCGAGAGGAGGGTGGAGACACGCGCGCACTCACACACACACACTCACAAAAGTTTGAACAAACCTGATAAGCCTCGAGATAGAACACGTAGGCTTTAATGTTAAAGCTACCTGATTTGTCTGACATTGTCAGAGAAATACACACACATACACATATAAGCACACATCCAGGCAGCAGCGGCTGCATGAAGGTGTTAACTTTGAATGATCCGCCACGCTTTGCCCTAAAAGGGAAGCTTGCAGAGAAATGCGCGCTTTGAACGCCGGCGAGGCGACAGCTCAGGGCTAGCTCGGCTTCCACGTCCAGCCAGGGAAAGGGAGCCACGGGCCGCAAAGGGCGCGGGGCGGCTGGGGGCACCCCTCTCCACAGCGTCTCGACGCCGGGGCCTGAGACACGGAACAGCCTCCTCTTCCTGCGAAATCCTCGCGCTGCCGGGGCGGCATGGCACAGCGAGGCGCGCTCGGGACCAGCCGGCTCAGCGAGTACGCGCAGCTGGTGTTCGGCGGCCGGGCGATTTCTGCCCAGTTACCTTCTCTACCTCGTAAAACTTGCCGTTTTGTAAATTGCGTTTTCGGTCCCAGATTTCTTAGCAAATCATTCGGTTTTACAATCCTACTCCCTCCCCCTAGTTCAACATCCTCCCATCCAACTTCTGATGTGTATATAAGGTACGGGGAGCAGGGAGCGGTCAGGGTAGCTGGCTTTTAATAATAATGACGATGATGACATTAAATAGTCGATTTAAAATCTGGGCCCCCGCCCCGCTCGGGAATTATAATCAGCAGTTCTTTGGAGAGAACGTCGGGCTGATTACTAGCCCATGGGGTTGAAGAACCATTTCCCGAAGGGTTTATGAAACGCAGGTTGGAGTGATGCGCGCCGCCTCCCAGGTGGCGAGCCTAGGTTCCTGCAGTGTGGGAATGTGGGGCCGCGCCAGGGCCGTGCCTATTGGCACCAGGTGCTAAGCTCGCGGTCCCCCACCAGCCGCTCTGGCCGCCCTCTCCGGGCTCGGCGCGGCCTCCTCCCGCACAGCCTAGTCTGCGGCGCCCTCGCCTGGTTTCTTTGGCCGCGGCAGCTCTGGTGCTCACGCCGCTTAGGGCTCCAGCTGTGCACAGTAGCCGCCTGGGCGTGGGGGTGGGAAACAGCTGGAGCGCCCCGGGGAGGCGCGGGTTGGGGTGGAAAGGAACCCAGCAAGGAGGATTATGAGGCGAGCAAACTCCTGGAGCTGCTACCGGTTTAGAATCAGGAGGAGCAACTTCACGGGGCACGGAACTTGAGCTCCGGAAAGAAACCAGACTGTTCCTGAGCGATGCCCTGGGAAGTTTGGACCTCTTGGGGTCCCTTCCATTGAAAAAAGAATTACTTGGAAGAGTATTTCTCAAAGTGTAATGTGCATACGAATCGCCTGGGAATCTTGTTAAAATGCAGATTCTGATTCAGTAAGCCTGGGGTGGGGCCCAACATTTCTCAACAGGCTCCTAGGTGATGCAGATGCTCCTCGAAGTGTAGTCGCAGACCAGCAACATCAAGCATCGCCAGGATTTCAATAGAAACTCAAGATCTCAGGCCCCAACCAAACCTACTAAATCAAAATTGACATTTTAACAAGTGATTCACTAGAACGTTGAAGTTGGAGATGCACTGCAATAGAATGTGCCTGGCCAGGTTTTCTTTCTTCTGTCTTAAATCAGGACGCCTCTGTGATTGAACTTCATTTCAAATCCTGCTTTCTGCCGTGGTCACGGGAGAGGATGGAGTCAACGAACCTATCCACGTAAACGCTACATCTCCTCTGGCCCACTGCAGAAACCCTAGACTAACATGCATTGACCACTGAGCTTAGGGGCCAAATGCCACCTGCAAGGCTTCCTTGATTCTTGTCTGATTGACATCTCTTCCAGCCACTTTCCTCAAGCCCCCCTCACCCATTCAGTATTTTGCTGCCAAGTCTATGGCTTTTATTTCTCCCTCCTTACATTACAGTTTTTTGTTTACAGATCTTCCTTCCCCTTTCAGCTGTGGACATCTTGAAAGAGATTATGCCTTATATTCTCCACTTTGTTTTTTCATCTGCAGCATGGAAATAGGCATTTCTTCCCACATAGGATTAATATATAAAAATGCTTTGGAAGCCATGGTTGCCATTGTTAAGAAAAGATGGCAGTATTCAGATTTCAGGGCCATTATACCTTAGATAAATTCTGGGGTCACAAGATTGAGTTGAAACACCTTAAGTATCAAACCACTGGAGGTACAAATCCCAGTCCTCCCTTTTACCAGTTGCATAACTTTAGGCAAATTATTGAACCTCTCTGAGTCCCAGTTACCTCCCCTGTATTATTAGAATAAGTATGTACATCTTGCAGAATACTTGTGATAATTAAAGACAATGTATACAAAGCACCTAGTATGGCGCCTGCTACATAGTAGGAATTTAATAAATGGAGCTATTTAGAGCTCTAAGCTCTAACATTTCATAGTCGGCAAAATAACGAGGGTGTGCGTGTGTGTGTGCATGTCTGTGTGTGAGAGAGACAGAGAGAGAGAGTCAGGGGTCTTGGATACTGCTCTTCCCATTCCCATCTGCAATAAGATAGTTGCCTTTAGTCAGCAGACTGCCCCTCAAGTAGCTGAAGCCTGAGGACTTTGACATACATAGAACTGACTGGTACAATTAGATATTAACATTTCAGTTTAAATGCACATGTGTGTGTGTATGTGTGTGAGAGAGAGAGAGAGAGAGGAGAGAGAGAATGGTTTTAGCTATGGTTTTTGGTTTGTTTTTTGTTGTTGTTGTTGTTGTTGTTTTGTTTTGCTTTGTTTTGAGATGGAGTCTCGCTCTGTCACCCAGGCTGGAGTGCAGTGGCACGATCTCGGCTCACTGAAACCTCTGCCTCCCGGGTTCAAGCAATTCTCCTGCCTGAACCTCCTGAGTAGCTAGAATTACAGGCACACACCATGAGGCCCAGCTAATTATGTATATTTAGTTGAGACATGGTTTCGCCATGTTGGCCAGGCTGGTCTTGAACTCCTGACCTCAGGTGATCCGCCTCCCTCGGCCTCCCAAAGTGCTGGGATTACAGGAATGAGCCACCATGCCCGGCCCCTTAGCTATGTATTTTTAAGGGATTCTTGTGTGCTTGTGCTTTCACAACTCAGTTTCATATAAGTCAACACTACACTCAGTTCATCTCGTACAAGCAGAGTCCTGACCATCTCCCAGTCAGCCTGTGGCAGCAGGACCTGGGCCACATGCTGAGGGCTGGTGAGACTCACTGACAGAGGCATTGCTCCTCCCGTGGCCTTAAGATTGCAAGAATTTCTGCACAATATATACAAAGTCAGTATTTGAAGATGTGTAATGTTTTTATATTACCATATTCTCTCCCTGTGAGATGGAAGCCACAAAGACAATTCAAAGAGAAAGTGGTTTTCAATGGAATAAGCGCTCTTTCTCTCTTCTTTCTTTTAAAATTATTTTTACATGCTTTTAAATTTGTTCAGTGTTTCTTACATTTTCACTTCCATAAATTTGGTTGTTGCCCATACTTTCAATACATGAAACTATTTACTAAGTCTAGATTCCTGCCAGGAAATAAAAGATTTGTAAAATTAACACCTACAGGACTTTTAAATTCTTTACTCAAACAAACAAGTGATTATGGTTGACATGAGAAAATATAGACATAAAGCAACTTAATTTGCTTAATATACTTTTAAACTTACAAGTATAGCAGACTTTCCACATCTTTTTAAAGCACAAACTTTAGGATCCATGCTGAGACAGCTTATAAATGAGACTTCCTTGTAACAAGATCCTCAGTACTCAATAACTTAATTCCCTTGACTTAGGTCCAAGCTAGACCTGGCAACCCTCAAACTCTGCTATGGAGTGAAGTCCTATAGCCATGACAGAGTGTGATACAGGTGTGCCCTGCTTTATGAAAAGCCACATCACAATGTGATTATTCGCTTCATGCTATTTTATTAAATAATGAGTTCCCCTGGGACATTTAAAATATGATTTGACTTACAAAAATCTGATTTATACTCACTTTCCCCAGAAACATACCTACTGAGGTAAAGCTATGTTTTTAAAAATGATGATGCATGTCCCATAGCAAATGTTTTATAATGAAAAGTCCATTTTCAAAGATTAAGACAAGGGAACATACCACCATTCTGGGGTTGGGAAAGAAACAATTTCTGTACAGATCAATTGTACACAGAAGAAACTGTAGGGCTCATTAATTGAATTATCTACTTTGAGGGCTCATGTAGATATACTAGAAACCAGGAACATGATAAGATTTGGACTTCAAACATTTTAGAAAATATAATGCTCTTATACTGGGTTTTGATAGTAAAGTGTTCAAATCAACTTTATAAACACTCTTGAAAAATACACTTTTTGAAATGAGAAGAATTTTCTGTTGCATAGAGAAACTGAAAAATAATTCTAGGGCTAGGTGCAGTGACTCATACCTGTAACCCCAGCACTTCGGGAGGCTAAGGAAGGAGGATTGCTTGAGCCCAGGAGTTTGAGACCAGCCTGGGCAACATGGCAAGACTCTGTCTTACAAAAAAAATTAGCTGGGCATGGTGGTGCACACCTGTAGTCCTAGCTACTTGGGAGGCTGAGGTGGGAGCCTGAGAGTTCAAGACTGCAATGAGCTATGATCACGCCACTGCACTCCACCCTGGGCAACAGAGTGAAACTCTGTCTTCCAAAAAAAAAGAATAATTCTAAAATTTGTCTGGGCTTACACCCATTTAGAAGTAATAGTTTATCAGCAAAAAATCACCATCTAACTCATATCCAGGTTTTCACTTAGCTGTTTGACATTGAACTGGAACTCTGAAATTGGATACATTGGACTCATAAAGATATATGCTATTCTTAAGGGCTCTAGGAGACAGCTTCAATTCTAGCTGCAGTGGAAGCACCAATGCAGAGAAGCCAAGATAGTGAAGATATTTTGATGCATCTGTTTCTGTTCTGTTAATGCTTGGCTGAGATTTTCACATTTGTGTCCAAAATTTCTACAGAATCAACTATCATGCAGGTTTCTTCATTAAACCAATTGAGCAATCTGGTGTCTCTTGTGCCTCCCAGAGTGGGGCAATATTTAAGCAGGGAGCAAGGGCTACTTAGCTACAGGAACCTCCTGTTCTAGTCTACCCTACACAGCACTGCCTGCTTAACTTTCCTGAGGCACTATTCTGAAAGTGTCTTTCTTCTATGACAAGTTTCAAGATCCCTCAGTTATTGTCAAGATAAAGCCCCAAATTTTTGCCTCTCATTCAAAGGTGTTCTACACTGGGGAAATAGCAAGAGAGATGGGGAAACATGAGATGTGCACCAGAAGCAGCAAGGACTTTAGGCAGCCTATGTTATGGAATTCAAGAAGGGACTTATGGGAAATATGTTTGGAAAGATAGGTTGGACACATGCCACAGAGGCTTGGAATGAATGGCAAAATTTTGAGGCTTTATCTTGAAGACAACTGAGAGATCCTGAAGATTCTGAATAGGGGAATGACATTATCAGAATTTGCCTTAGGAAGATAAAGCAGGCAGTAATGTGAATTACACATCCTCTTCACATGTTCAGACTACCCATCTTTTGAGATTCAAAACAAATATCACCTCCTCCCCTAAAGTTCTGATATGTTGTTTCAAGTGGAAAAACAATCTCTCCCCATCACAATCACAATCTCCTATGGCATCTTAGTTTTACATGTTGGTTTTGTCTGTATCTCTATGATCTCTCTTCATAGGCTATAAATTCCTTGAGGGGATATTTATATCAACTCTTCTTGTCTTCCACTGCTAAGGCATATTTTGCTCAAAAATTGTACTGTCTAAATGTAAGGATTCTAATTTTTAAACAATTTGAGAAAATCCTCAACCATTACCTTTTTAAATATTGCTTTTTCTTCACCCTCTCAATTCTTTTTTCCTGTTATCTGATTAGATATATGTTAGATCTTCTTGCTCTATCTTCTGTATTTATTAGCCTCTCTTTCATAGATTCTCTCTATTATCTTGTGCTTACTTCTGAATAATTTCCTCAAGTTTATATTCAAGTTTTCTAATTCTCTCTTTCTCTGTATCTAATAAGCTATTTAAACTGACGATTAAATTTTTTATCTTAATTATTTTTTAAATTTCCATAATTTATATTTGATTCTTTTTTAAAATGTGCCTGTTATCTTTTCACACTGTCTTGTCTTTTTTATCTTACAGTTCAGTTCTTGGGATTTTTTTTGTTTTTTGTTTTGGTTTTGGGTTTTTTGTTTTTTTTTTTTTCCAGACAATCTTGCTCCGTTACCCAGGCTGCAGTGCAGTTGCATGATCTCAGCTCACTGCAAACTTTGTCTCCCAGGTTCAAGTGATTCTCCTGCTTCAACCCCCTGTGTAGCTGGGATGACAGGAGTGCACCATGATGCCTGGCAAATTTTTGTATTTTTAGTAGAGACGGGGTTTCACCATGTTGGCCAGGCTGGTCTCGAACTCCTGGGCTCAAGCAACCTGCCTGCCTCTGCCTCCCAATGTGCTGGGATTACAGGCATGAGCCACCGCACCTGGCCAGGTTAAGTTTTTAAACATTTCAAATATATTTATTTTATCTGACAGCTCTATTATCTGAAGTTCCTAGGGATTTTTTTTTCTTTTTTTTTTGAGATGGAGTTTCACTCTTGTTTCCAGGCTGGAGTGCAATGGCACGATTTCAGCTCACTGCAACCTCTGCCTCCCAGGTTCAAGTGATTCTCCTGCCTCAGCCTCCCTCAATCCTCCCAAGGGATTATAGGCATGTGCCACCAAGCCCAGCTAATTTTGTATTTTTTGTAGAGACGGGGTTTCTCCACGTTGGTCAGGCTGGTCTCGAACTCCTGACCTTAGGTGATCCACCCGCCTCAGCCTCCCAAAGTGCTGAGATTACAGGTGTGAGCCACCACGCCTGGCCATGGGATCTTTTTAATCCTTCTGTTTGTTGTACCTACTAATCATTACTCAGAAAAATTGTTTTGCCATACTTTAGAATTTTAAGTTGTGAGTTCACCTTCAACAAGATTTTCTCTGTGGAAATCATGTTTAAAATTACTTGACATATCCTTTCACAATGATTTTACCTTTGCTTTTGTTAGATGCTTCAGTGTTATCAATTTTTTCACTAATTTATCAGCCTGGCTTTTCCCAAACTATGGAGGAAATGTAATTAGAACCACAGATGTAAGTGATAGTAGGCCTGTTGGAAAGAATTGTCAGGGGACACTTTTTTTTTTTTAACCCAGAGGCCAGATGAGATAGAATCTTCCTTATTTCTTTTTCTAGTGAGCTGATGATTTTCTAGACCAGCATTTCACTGATTACGTAGCCCTTTGAGACCCAGATTTATGCAAGGGTATCAGTTTTTATCTCCCCAATTCATGTTGGGCCAGAGCTTTATGTCCTAACTCCATGAGAGTTTTGAAACCTATGCCCTGAATTCTCAAGGCTCTTGTCTCCCCTTCCACAACCATAGGCTGCCAGGATTTTGATTCCCATTGTGTTGAGCCCCAGAGACTTTCCTTAACGTTTTTCAAGAGCATTGATTAGTTTTTAAGCAGAATGCCTCAGTGGTTTGTGAAGGGAAGGATTGCAGATTATTTACTCCATAAAAACACTGGGAAGCCTAGACCTGAAAATACCTGTGGTGATTTGCTGTTAGTGAATTTCAGTTGCACTTTTTTCTTGAATCCTTTTATTTAAACGAAATATCTGACTCCCAAAACAAAGGCAGAACTGAGTGTCACCTATAAGTAGAATCACAAAAATAGCTTTTTCACATGTTTTTGATCAGCCTAAAATCTTTTGTTCTACCTTTCTTCACTAGTCATCAAAATCATATTCAGCCTTCAATTGTCGTCTCAGATTCAGTGTTGTCCCTAATGTTTTCCATGATAATAATGATTATATTAAACCAGTGGTCAAAGTGAAAAATACGAAGAAGAATAATTACAGAACAACAACTATTTATTAAGTGCTTACCCTGTGTTAAGCATTATACTGGTATTTTGCATATGTTACCTTATTTTTGCAAATAACTCTAAGACATTTTTAACCTCAGTTTACTGGTCAAGAAACTGATATTCCCAGAAGTTAAGTAACTTTTTGAGGTGGCTTAGCCAGTAGTACATTGAGCCACATTAAATTGCTGATAGTCAACTAGTTTTTTATCCACAACAAAGTAGTTTTGCATGGTTCAATCTAACAAGTGATGAAGGTAACATTCAAATTAAGGTCTGACCAATTTCTAACCTCATATACCTCCCTTTAGACAACACGGCCTCTTCACCATGCTAATTATTCCTTCTTGTAGGTTATCATAACACTCTTTTTTTTTCTTTTATTATTATTATACTTTAAGTTTTAGGGTACATGTGCACAATGTGCAGGTTAGTTACATATGTATACATATGCCATGCTGGTGTGCTGCACCCATTAACTCGTCATTTAGCATTAGGTATATCTCCTAAAGCTATCCCTCCCCGCTCCCCCCACCCCACAACAGTCCCCAGAGTGTGATGTTCCCCTTCCTGTGTCCATGTGTTCTTAACACTCTTATACTATCTGTCTTCATTCAGTTTCCTCATTTGACCCTCAGTTACAATAAAGCATATACATCTGTTTTCTCCAGTGGATTGTAAGCTCCTTGAGGGCTCTTCCTTAGCTCTGTATCCCAGGCCCTTTGCACAGAACTTGGTACAGGATAAGTCTTCAGTATGTTTTTTTTTTAAATAAACTAAGCTAGGTTATTCAAGTTTTAGTCAATATTTATATGCAGCTAATGTGTTTTTAAACTTTACTCTTTCACTTCTTCTTTCCTAGTGGCAGTTTCATAACATGATCGCAAATGTTTTGACATTCTTCCCATCGAGACGTGGGATCTATCTATGACTCCTTTACATGAATCTGGATGGGTTTGTGATGGCTTCAACCGACAGAGTGGTGCAGGGTGATGTTAAATGACTTCTAAGGTTTGGCTATAAAAGCTCATGCAGCTTCTGCCTAGGTTTTTTGGTACATTTGCTCTCTGCAGGCTCCCTCTTGAGTGCTTCATCTCAGAACCCAGCAGCCATGCTGTGAGAAGCCCAGTTCACAAAGAGAGCCCTCACTAGGTTCTCTGGCCAATAGTCACAGCTGAACCTAGCTTTTGAGCTATTCCAGCATACAAGCCAGGTAGATGAGTGACGATGTCCCCAGATGAGTTCAACTCCCAGCATTTTGAGTTGTCCCCAGGCATTTGAGTCTTTCCAGCTGAGGTCCCAGATATTGTGGAGCAAAGACACATGAGTGTAATAAAATGATTATTGTTTTACACCACTATGTTGGGGTGATTTATTGTGCAGCAATAAATAAGCATAGCTTCTATTTGGCCTGTCTGGTAGGGACCACTATAGCCTAGTAAGTTCTAAAACCTCTACAGATTGGGACAGTGATAGCTCCTTTTCCCCAGTGATAAGAGTCTGGTGCTAGACGGCTGTTCCTGTGTCCAGAATCAAAACTGGGTTTCAAGTGGATTTCAGCTTCCGGACATGTTTTGAGCATTTGGCTCACACTCGTTTTGTGTGTCTTACTTGCTCTCTGTCCTGTAAGCCTGAACCCAAACTGGTTGGCTGAGAACAGTGGTCTCCTAACTCATTATTGTTACTCTCTTTTCTTGAGGCCAAACCTTGCCTCTATCATCCCTCATACTGACTCTAACATGCCTATCTGGCCTACGGCAGCCAAGCCATTCACTAGAAGCTGAGCCCTGCTACTGGCCCAGAAGCCCCATTGCCCATTCTACCCTCTTGTTCAGGACCACTCAAAGACTGATTCCAGAACAGGCTGTCAGCCAAGCTTTGCCTTCTTGGACTCTGGCCCCTCCTTAAAGGGGTGCAGCTCTTTCTTCATTACCAGCCATCCTACAAAGTACAGCCCTTCTCCTTACCAGGATTTGTTGGCAAACAGCATGGCTAGACCTACCCTCTTCATTGCAATTAGTCTCAACAAATAGCCTAATAGCAGACACACTTTCAGAGATGTGGAGGCAAAATGATCAGTGTGAGTCAGTGTTCCCTAGGGGCAAGTGAACCTCCCTGAAGCTCAGAGGCAGAGGCACCAGGAGTTCCTGGGGCAGCTGTGCTGGAGATTCTGTCATTCTGTCCTAAGCATCATTCATGTTGAGAAGTAAGCAGGGACAGATGCAGTGTTTGGTTAGGCCAGTCCTGTGCTGTGGAAGGGCATTTCTTCTAGTTGCTATGTGAAGCAACCAAGCCCGGTTCTCTGTTCCTCCCAAAGATCTGTAAACTGTCTGAAATCTTTTAATAAAACCTTCCTGCTTAAATGAACCACAGTGGTTTTTGTCTGGAATTAAAAACACTAAATTTACCATCTTCCAACATCTTGTGACTGTGTGAATCAATCAGAAAATCCTAGAGCTGTAGGCAGTTTATTTAATTTTTGTTTGCAGGTCCTGACAGAAAGTATATACCATTAATATTGAAGATCAACTATAAGCCTTACCATGGTAGTAGAAAATTAGCAAGTCCTATGCAGTTACAAACAATGACCAACCAATCAGGTGACATATTCAAATACCATTACTTTCAGTAAAACTTTTAATGTTAATATTAATAATGTTAAGTAATAAAGGTATTAATATTGATAAAAAGTTTTAATCATTATAAAATAAATGTATGATTTACCTTAAAATTTAATATTTATCTCCCCTTTAAAATTTGTTTTGGGAAAAATGTTTTGTAAGGAATATATCTTACAGTAATACACTTACATAACTTATTAATCTTTGCCATGCAATTTTGGAATTGCATGGCAAAAATACTTTTACTGATTAGGATGCAAAAAGTTTAGAAACTATTGCTTATCAAAAAGTTTAGAAACCGGACAGGCAGGGTGGCTCACGCCTGTAATCCCAGCATTTTGAGAGCCTGAGGCAGTCAGACTGATCGAGGCCAGGAGTTTGAAATCAGCCTGGCCAACACGGTGAAACCCCGTCTCTACTAAAAATACAGAAAATTAGCTGGATGTGGTGGTGCACGCCTGTATTCCCAGCTACTGGGGAGGTTGAGGCACAAGAACTGCTTGAACCCAGGAGGCAGAGGTTGCAGTGAGCCAAGATCGTGCCACTGCACTCCAGCCTGGGTGACAGAGTGAGACTCTGTCTCAAAAAACAAACAAACAAAAGAGTTTAGAAGAGTTTGTATAGGGGAGGAGCCAAGATGGCCGAATAGGAACAGCTCCAGTCTACAGCTCCCAGCATGAGCGACGCAGAAGACCGGTGATTTCTGCATTTCCATCTGAGGTACCGGGTGCATCTCACTAGGGAGTGCCAGACAGTGGGCGCAGGCCAGTGGGTGCGCGCACCGTGCGCGAGCCGAAGCAGGGCGAGGCATTGCCTCACCTGGGAAGCGCAAGGGGTCAGGGAGTTCCCTTTCCGAGTCAAAGAAAGGGGTGACGGACGCACCTGGAAAATCGGGTCACTCCCACCCGAATATTGCGCTTTTCAGACCGGCTTAAAAAACGGCGCACCACGAGTCTATATCCCACACCTGGCTCGGAGGGTCCTACGCCCACGGAGTCTCGCTGATTGCTAGCACAGCAGTCTGAGATCAAACTGCAAGGCGGCAACGAGGCTGGGGGAGGGGCGCCCGCCATTGCCCAGGCTTGATTAGGTAAACAAAGCAGCCAGGAAGCTCGAACTGGGTGGAGCCCACCACAGCTCAAGGAGGCCTGCCTGCCTCTGTAGGCTCCACCTCTGGGGGCAGGGCACAGACAAACAAAAAGACAGCAGTAACCTCTGCAGACTTAAATGTCCCTGTCTGACAGCTTTGAAGAGAGCAGTGGTTCTCCCAGCACGCAGCTGGAGATCTGAGAACCGGCAGACTGCCTCCTCAAGTGGGTCCCTGACCCCTGACCCCCGAGCAGCCTAACTGGGAGGCACCCCCCAGCAGGGGCACACTGACACCTCACACAGCAGGGTATTCCAACAGACTTGCAGCTGAGGGTCCTGTCTGTTAGAAGGAAAACTAACAAACAGAAAGGACATCCACACCGAAAACCCATCTGTACCTCACCATCATCAAAGACCAAAAGTAGATAAAACCACAAAGATGGGGAAAAAATAGAACAGAAAAACTGGAAACTCTAAAACGCAGAGCGCCTCTCCTCCTTCAAAGGAACGCAGTTCCTCACCAGCAACAGAACAAAGCTGGATGGAGAATGACTTTGACGAGCTGAGAGAAGAAGGCTTCAGACGATCAAATTACTCTGAGCTACAGGAGGACATTCAAACCAAAGGCAAAGAAGTTGAAAACTTTGAAAAAAATTTAGAAGAATGTATAACTAGAATAACCAATACAGAGAAGTGCTTAAAGGAGCTGATGGAGCTGAAAACCAAGGCTCGAGAACTACGTGAAGAATGCAGAAGCCTCAGGAGCCGATGTGATCAACTGGAAGAAAGGGTATCAGCAATGGAAGATGAAATGAATGAAATGAAGTGAGAAGGGAAGTTTAGAGAAAAAAGAATAAAAAGAAATGAGCAAAGCCTCCAAGAAATATGGGACTATGTGAAAAGACCAAATCTATGTCTGATTGGTGTACCTGAAAGTGATGGGGAGAATGGAACCAAGTTGGAAAACACGCTGCAGGATATTATCCAGGAGAACTTCCCCAATCTAGCAAGGCAGGCCAACGTTCAGATTCAGGAAATACAGAGAACGCCACAAAGATACTCCTCAAGAAGAGCAACTCCAAGACACATAATTGTCAGATTCACCAAAGTTGAAATGAAGGAAAAAATGTTAAGGGCAGCCAGAGAGAAAGGTCGGGTTACCCTCAAAGGGAAGCCCATCAGACTAACAGCGGATCTCTCGGCAGAAACCCTACAAGCCAGAAGAGAGTGGGGGCCAATATTCAACATTCTTAAAGAAAAGAATTTTCAAACCAGAATTTCATATCCAGCCAAACTAAGCTTCATAAGTGAAGGAGAAATAAAATACTTTACAGACAAGCAAATGCTGACCGATTTTGTCACCACCAGGCCTGCCCTAAAAGAGCTCCTGAAGGAAGCACTAAACATGGAAAGGAACAACCGGTACCAGCCGCTGCAAAATCATGCCACAATGTAAAGACCATCGAGACTAGGAAGAAACTGCATCAACTAACGAGCAAAATCACCAGCTATCATCATAATGACAGGATCAAATTCACACATAACAATATTAACTTTAAATATAAATGGACTAAATTCTCCAATTAAAAGACACAGACTGGCAAATTGGATAAAGAGTCAAGATCCATCAGTGTGCTGTATTCAGGAAACCCATCTCACCTGCAGAGACACACATAGGCTCAAAATAAAAGGATGGAGGAAGATCTGCCAAGCAAATGGAAAACAAAAAAAGGCAGGGGTTGCAATCCTAGTCTCTGATAAAACAGACTTTAAACCAACAAAGATCAAAAGAGACAAAGAAGGCCATTACATAATGGTCAAGGGATCAATTCAACAAGAAGAGCTAACTATCCTAAATATATATGCACCCAATACAGGAGCACCCAGATTCATAAAGCAAGTCCTGAGTGACCTACAAAGAGACTTAGAGTCCCACACATTAATAATGGGAGACTTTAACACCCCACTGTCAACATTAGACAGATCAACGAGACAGAAAGTCAACAAGGATACCCAGGAATTGAACTCAGCTCTGCACCAAGCCGACCTAATAGACATCTACAGAACTCTCCACCCCAAATCAACAGAATATACATTTTTTTCAGCACCACACCACACCTATTCCAAAATTGACCACATAGTTGGAAGTAAAGCTCTCCTCAGCAAATGTAAAAGAACAGAAATTATAACAAACTATCTCTCAGACCACAGTGCAATCAAACTAGAACTCAGGATTAAGAATCCCACTCAAAGCCGCTCAACTACATGGAAACTGAACAACCTGCTCCTGAATGACTACTGGGTACATAACGAAATGAAGGCAGAAATAAAGATGTTCTTTGAAACCAACGAGAACAAAGACACCACATACCAGAATCTCTGGGACGCATTCAAAGCAGTGTGTAGAGGGAAATTTATAGCACTAAATGCCCACAAGAGAAAGCAGGAAAGATCCAAAATTGACACCCTAACATCACAATTAAAAGAACTAGAAAAGCAAGAGCAAACACATTCAAAAGCTAGCAGAAGGCAAGAAATAACTAAAATCAGAGCAGAACTGAAGGGAATAGAGACACAAAAAACCCTTCAAAAAATCAATGAATCCAGGAGCTGGTTTTTTGAAAGGATCAACAAAATTGATAGACCGCTAGCAAGACTAATAAAGAAAAAAAGAGAGAAGAATCAAATAGACACAATAAAAAATGATAAAGGGGATATCACCACCGATCCCACAGAAATACAAACTACCATCAGAGAATACTACAAACACCTCTACGCAAATAAACTAGAAAATCTAGAAGAAATGGATAAATTCCTCGACACATACACTCTCCCAAGACTAAACCAGGAAGAAGTTGAATCTCTGAATAGACCAATAACAGGAGCTGAAATTGTAGCAATAATCAATAGTTCAACAACCAAAAAGAGTCCAGGACCAGATGGATTCACAGCCGAATTCTACCAGAGGTACAAGGAGGAACTGGTACCATTCCTTCTGAAACTATTCCAATCAATAGAAAAAGAGGGAATCCTCCCTAACTCATTTTATGAGGCCAGCATCATTCTGATACCAAAGCCGGGCAGAGACACAACCAAAAAAGAGAATTTTAGACCAATATCCTTGATGAACATTGATGCAAAAATCCTCAATAAAATACTGGCAAACTGAATCCAGCAGCACATCAAAAAGCTTATCCACCATGATCAAGTGGGCTTCATCCCTGGGATGCAAGGCTGGTTCAATATACGCAAATCAATAAATGTAATCCAGAATATAAACAGAGCCAAAGACAAAAACCACATGATTATCTCAATAGATGCAGAAAAGGCCTTTGACAAAATTCAACAACCCTTCATGCTAAAAACTCTCAATAAATTAGGTATTGATGGGACGTATTTCAAAATAATAAGAGCTATCTATGACAAACCCAAGCCAATATCATACTGAATGGGCAAAAACTGGAAGCATTCCCTTTGAAAACTGGCACAAGACAGGGATGCCCTCTCTCACCACTCCTATTCAACATAGTGTTGGAAGTTCTGGCCAGGGCAATTAGGCAGGAGAAGGAAATAAAGGGTATTCAATTAGGAAAAGAGGAAGTCAAATTGTCCCTGTTTGCAGACGACATGATTGTATATCTAGAAAACCCCATTGTCTCAGCCCAAAATCTCCTTAAGCTGATAAGCAACTTCAGCAAAGTCTCAGGATACAAAATCAATGTACAAAAATCACAAGCATTCTTATACACCAACAACAGACAAACAGAGAGCCAAATCATGAGTGAACTCCCATTCACAATTGCTTCAAAGAGAATAAAATACCTAGGAATCCAACTTACAAGGGATGTGAAGGACCTCTTCAAGGAGAACTACAAACCACTGCTCAATGAAATAAAAGAGGATACAAACAAATGGAAGAACATTCCATGCTCATGGGTAGGAAGAATCAATATCGTGAAAATGGCCATACTGCCCAAGGTAATTTACAGATTCAATGCCATCCCCATGAAGCTACCAATGACTTTCTTCACAGAATTGGAAAAAACTACTTTAAAGTTCATATGGAACCAAAAAAGAGCCCGCATTGCCAAGTCAATCCTAAGCCAAAAGAACAAAGCTGGAGTAATCACACTACCTGACTTCAAACTATACTACAAGGCTACAGTAACCAAAACAGCATGGCACTGGTACCAAAACAGAGATATAGATCAATGGAACAGAACAGAGCCCTCAGAAATAACGCCGCATAACTACAACTATCTGATCTTTGACAAACCTGAGAAAAACAAGCAATGGGGAAAGGATTCCCTATTTAATAAATGGTGCTGGGAAAACTGGCTAGCCATATGTAGGAAGCTGAAACTGGATCCCTCCCTTACACCTTATACAAAAATCAATTCAAGATGGATTAAAGATTTAAACGTTAGACCTAAAACCATAAAAACCCTAGAAGAAAACCTAGGCATTACCATTCAGGACATAGGCATGGGCAAGGACTTCATGTCTAAAACACCAAAAGCAATGGCAACAAAAGACAAAATTGACAAATGGGATCTAATTAAACTAAAGAGCTTCTGCACAGCAAAAGAAACTACCATCAGAGTGAACAGGCAACCTACAAAATGGGAGAAAATTTTTGCAACCTACTCATCTGACAAAGGGCTAATATCCAGAATCTACAATGAACTCAAACAAATTTATAAGAAAAAAACAAACAACCCCATCAAAAAGTGGGCGAAGGACATGAACAGACACTTCTCAAAAGAAGACATTTATGCAGCCAAAAAACACATGAAAAAATGCTCATCATCACTGGCCATCAGAGAAATGCAAATCAAAACCACAATGAGATACCATCTCACACCAGTTAGAATGGCAATCATTAAAAAGTCAGGAAACAACAGGTGCTGGAGAGGATGTGGAGAAATAGGAACACTTTTACACTGTTGGTGGGACTGTAAACTAGTTCAACCATTGTGGAAGTCAGTGTGGCGATTCCTCAGGGATCTAGAACTAGAAATACCATTTGACCCAGCCATCCCATTACTGGGTATATACCCAAAGGATTATAAATCATGCTGCTATAAAGACACATGCACACGTATGTTTATTGAGGCATTATTCACAATAGCAAAGACTTGGAACCAACCCAAATGTCCAACAATGATAGACTGGATTAAGAAAATGTGGCACATATACACCATGGAATACTATGCAGCCATAAAAAATGATGAGTTCATGTCCTTTGTAGGGACATGGATGAAATTGGAAATCATCATTCTCAGTAAACTATCGCAAGAACAAAAAACCAAACACCGCATATTCTCACTCATAGGTGGGAATTGAACAATGAGATCACATGGACACAGGAAGGGGAATATCACACTCTGGGGACTGTGGTGGGGTGGGGGGAGGGGGGAGGGATAGCATTGGGAGATATACCTAATGCTAGATGACGAGTTAGTGGGTGCAGTGCACCAGCATGGCACATGTATACATATGTAACTAACCTGCACAATGTGCACATGTACCCTAAAACTTAAAGTATAATAAAAAAAAACAAAAAAAAAAGAGTTTAGAAATAACTGCTATGAATTCACTGTTGTGAATTAAAAGTATCCATTCTTTAAAGAGACTTTTAAAGGTCATCTAATGAAATCCTTCATGAAATTTTTTGATGACAGAAATCTTTCTTCAAAAAAAGCTCCTAACTACTTCTCAGATACTATACTCATTACCTAGGTGACAAAGTAACCTGTACACCAAACCCCCACAATGCACAATTTACCCACACACTAAACCTGCACATGTACTCCCTGAACCTAAACCTAAAAGTTGGAAAGAAAACAATACAAAAACAAAACAAAAAAAGCTTCAATGCCTGAAACAAACAATATACTTTGGTAGAGTCCCACCATCCACTGCTTTCCTGAAGGGTCCTGAAAAGCACTGTTTGCAAACCATGGGTACACTAGACCTCTCTCATTTTACTGATTAGGAAAGGAAATTACTTGGCCAAGAGTTATTTAATGATGGAACTGGGGCTCAACCTACATTCTCAAATCTCTTTTTGGCCAAAAATCTTTCCATCATATTACATTATTCTATTTAAATGCTAGATTTGAAAGAGTTCTGGTGATGCTTCCTAATTTGTGTTTCCTTTACAGTTCTGAAATGTTGAGAGATATTTGCAAATCTGAGGCTGGGGAGTATCTGAGAAGCTGGAGGGAAAAGTTAAATAACCTCTACCTATCACCCTGACCCCTAGCACTTCCAAGCAAAGCTGTTTATATAAGAACATTTTAAAATGAGTTCCCTGTGCATTTTGTTTCTGCTTCCTTGCCTGTTGGCTTTAGTTGAAAGAATCTGGATTGGAAGCCCAGCCAAACACTTTCATCTGATCCAATCACAATCACATCGTCATCTGATAGAAACGTGGCATCACCCAAACCTCTAGTCTCTTGTTCACACATGTGGACTCTAATCAGCAACGGAATAAGCTGTAGTGACTACAAGCAAATATCTCTGAACTTCACTGAGTTTGATGACAGTGGTAATAAAAATAGTCTTTTCCATGACGAACACTACCAGTAAGTCAACAGTTCAAGAGCGATAGTTTTAAGAGTAACTGATGCATTAGCTCTTGTCAATGAGATTCCTTTTGGCAGTAATATATTCTGCGGATTAAGTTAAACCAAATGTTTGTAACAATGGAAATTTATTCATGTTAACAGTTAGGATTATCATCCCAGTGAATATTTACTATAGTTACAGTCAAATTTACTCTTTTGGACATTGCTTATTTTCATTTCTTTGTTATAAACTCCACTAAAAGCAATAGAAAGCATCCTTTAACATTTTTAAAGTGCTGCAATTTATTTTCTTTTAAACTGGTTTTTTTCTTTTTTTTTTTTTTTTTTTTTTTTTTAGGGGCTACTCTCCCTTTGCCCATACAGTGATGGCAGTGAGCAATAAAAGTTCTGGTTGAGAAAGTTCTGTAAGTTATTTGGCCACATTTGAGCTCACCATGGCTGGATACTACATGGCATTTGTCCTTTGATTTCAATCTGTTTCCTGCCACTTGGTTACTTTGTGGTCACGTGGGTGAAAAAGAGGGCCAGTGTTGACTTTATAGCTTGAGAGCTTATCTCTCTGTTTCCTGTACCTAGAGAGAGATGGTGCAGGTACAGAAAAGTCCATACATACATAACCTTCCATGAAACAAGCCTTCTGCTAGCTTCTGCAGTCACTCTGGCAATTTGTGGTTGCAGAATTCAGCAAGACTAAGAACTAGTGCTGTGTATCACAAGCGCACTTTGTTCTTTAGAGAACTTTGCTCTGAAATTGTTCTAACTCTATATTTTTGTCAGTTGGTATTTTTGTCAGCTTTTTTATCTCAGGCTGTAAGTGACACTTTATCATGTTTTCAGTCTGTAGAATGAAAGAAAGAGAATGATAGATAATTTGCACTTTGGGTTGCTTTGCTGTTTGTTTGTTTGTTTGTTTCATCACTCTTGGCTATATAGACACAAGAGTGACAAGTATTCCCCCACAATGAAGAGTGGAGAGGAGCTTCATGAGTGGCTTCAGAGCACCTATGACTCAGATGCCTTGAGAGGGTCCCCACAGAGCCTTGCATGTAGGTGAGATGGTTCCTCACTCTTCCCGGCTACCACACCACAGCAAGCTCAGAGAAAACCAAGAGGGATGGTTGTAACAATGGAAATTTGCTCATGTTAACAGTTGGGATTTTCATCCCAGTTAATATTGACTGTAGTTACATTCAAATTTACTCTTGTGGACACTGTTTGACCAGTGGAGGAGGAAACTCATTTATTCCCAAGTCACTCCCAAGCCATCAAACAAACACCAGCTGCAGAAGAGAGCAGTTGCCCAGTGGCCCCACACCTTCCAGCTAACTGTTCCTTAAGCATGAACTGATTGCCCATCTTCCTATTACTTGGTGGCTGTTAACCATAGTTGCATCTATAATTACCTGCAAAGCTCTTTAGAACACTGATACTAAGGTTCCAATCCAAACCAACTAAATCAGAATCTTTGGGGAAGAGTCATGAACATTCCTATGTGTTAGTAGCTCCCCAGGTGATTTCCACTTACCAAAGTACCTTCTCTGTACTAAGTCTTTGACCTCATAGAGATCTTTGACCCATTGGCCCTGTTGCTTTTTCACTAATCATCACATCATCACTCTCATTTCCTCATATCCAGATTCCCATGGTCCATAATTATAATCATTTCCATGATTATAGAAATTTCTCCATTTCTCCCCATTATTATACTTTCCTGGTAAAGTCCCCTAACAGGGTTAAACTCATTGCCACAGCTACTCTATACCTGGACCAAATCTCCTGAACATTCCCATGGAAAAACACATGACCAACCATGTTAACCACTTAATTTTAGATCCATGTTTTAGAAAATCCATGGTTTAGAAACCATGTTCAAAGGAACCTGAAATTTTGTCCTTATGTTAAAAAGTCTTTACAGGTTCCATGTATGAAATAATAACAAATCTCAATTGGACACATAGCACAGCTCAAAAATCCTATTATGCTTTCAGGTTTTAAATTTCCCATACTACAGCTTCTATTCTCGCTCTCAAATCTCCTATATTCCCTTTCTCTCCCCACCACTCTTGGCTGATGATCTGGCCTCATCATTGACTGGGAAAAATACAGAAATCAGAGGAGATTCCTTATACCTCCAAACCTGCAAAACCACCCACATCTGTATTCACACTTTTTGCCCTCCCTCCATTTGCTATTCATTAAGCATCCCTGTTCCTATGAAAGGCCAGCCCTCCTCTTTGATCTGGATCTCTCCTTCTCTTATCTGTTGGGGACTTCATTCCTCCCTTCATAAGCATACGTTGCTAATTTCTTCCCAGAACTTACAAATAAGCATGTTTTAGTATCTTCCATCTTAAAACAAAACAAACCTTTCACAATTCTACATCCATCTTAGCTATCATACCATGTCCTTGCTTCTCTTCACTTTAAAACTTCTTTAAAAAGGCTTGTCTTTAGTCACTCGCCCCACTTCCTCGATACTCTAGTAAAAACACTATTATCAAGGTCAGCCTTAGCTTGCAACCATCTTTTCTTTGATATCTAAAAGGAATCTCAAGCTTAACATGTCCACAAACAATCTCTTTTTTCTAGCACTGCAAAACAATGTGGGCCTTCCTCAGTCTTCCTATTTCACTCAATGGCAGCCTTATCCACTGAGTTAAGCCTTTTTCTTCTTTATCTCATGCCCGATGTATAATCCGTCAAAGTGTTTTGTTGGCCATTCTTCCAAAATATATCATGAATCCAGTCACCTCTCTCCATTTCTTACCACTCCAATACAATCACCATGATTCCTCACTTGGACAGTCTCCTCTCTTCCACACCTGTCTCATGGCATCCATTTTCTGTACAGCGGCGTGGGTAGTCTTTTAAAAGCCTAGATGAGATCAGTTCATGTCCAATAGCTTCCTATTATTCTTAGAATATATTTAAACTTTTTCCTGGGTCTGCATGACCTGACTCTTGCCTACTCCTCCAACCTCATCTCAGATCACTCCTACCACCCACTCCCAGTTTGCCCCAGCATAGAGGGCCCCTGGATGGTCCAAAATCACTCCGTACTCAGACAAAACTCAAACCCTTTAGCTCAGCTTGTTCTACCTAAAATTCTTGCACCCCAGACCTTCTTTTGGCCAGCTCCTTCTTATCTCAGCTCAACAGTCACTTCCTCTCCCTGACCACTCACTCTAAAGTAGCCACCACCTAACACATCACTTTTTATTACATTATTTAGTTTTCTTCATGGCAAAAAAAAAAAAAAAGAAGAAGAAGAAGTGATTTTAGTTTCCATTCCAAAAGTAGGTAAAGCTACTTTTAAAAATATCCTCCAGCAATTTGTGTGAAAAAGGAAATGCTGGGCCAGTCGTGGTGGCTCACACCTGTAATCCCAGCACTTTGGGAGGCCGAGGCAGGTGGATCACCTGAGGTCAGGAGTTTGAGACCAGCCTGGCCTACATGGTGAAACATACATGATAAAAATATAAAATTAGCCCAGTGTGGTGGCGCATGCCTGTAATCCCAGCACTTTGGGAGGCCGAGGTGGGTGGATCATGAGGTCGGGAGTTCAAGACCAGCCTGACCAACATGGTGAAACCCCATCTCTACTAAAAATACAAAAATTAGCTGGGCATGGTGGCGCACACCTGTATTCCCAGCTACTCAGGAGTCTGAGGCAGGAGAATTGCTTGAACACAGGAGACAGAGGTTGCAGTGAGCCGAGATCGCACCAATGCACTCCAGCCTGGGCGACAGAGCAAGATTTCATCTCAAAAATAACAATAATAATAATAATAATACCCGACCTTTAAGAGCACTTCCTGAATTGCGCAGGTAAGTATTACTGACTTTCTCAAATGGCCTTTGGAGAGGTTTGAGATTTAGTGAGAATAATCACAATTTTAGTTGTAGCTCTGACTATTCAGGTCCTTTGACTAGGTCACATGGCCCAAAGAATTTTGGATCATATATTCTATGTTTCTCTGTCTCCACAAGAAGCACCAGCTCAGGGGACTCCTTTTTGTGACAGTGTTTAACCTACCAGTGTCTATGATTTGGAGCAAGCTTAATGATAATCTAAAGGATGATCTGGTCCTTACTTCTTATAGTGTAAAAGTCCTCACATGGTTAATTTAAGAAATGACTCTTTTATACATTAAATTTCCTTTTAATAAAAGGATATAACTAATTTTGTCTCCTTCTAAGTGATAGCACCACTTCTGCTTCAGAAGCTAATTAGGAGATGCCCAGTTTGAGTTCTTTGATACCATTGATGAATGAGAAATGTACATGGGTAATTTTTCTTTACTGCTAATAGAAGTTAAACAGCACATGTCCTGTGGAATAAAATTCTCTTCCCTGCAATAATAATAGCTGTTTTGTTTTGACTTCAGAAATTCTGAAATCTGTGTGTAGCCAACAGTAATTACTGCTCATTACAATAATCACCATCGACTTGATCAGTCCCCTGGAACACAAGTCAGGACCTAAGGAAATGGATTTTTACCTAGGGTGATGAAGAATTTTACCTGAGGCCCAGGGCAGCCTCTCTGGGAGCCAAATTTGGTGACTGATACTAGAAGCTGTTAATATGTTGAATTCCTAAGTCAGAATTTTTGTTTTAAGTGTTTTCTGAGTGAAACCATATTCAAAGGAACCTGAAATTTTGACCTCATGTTAAAAATTCTTTACAGGTTCCATGTATGAAATAATAAAAAGAGCAAGTGTGAATAAGTGAGAAGTTTGTCAAGCAAGGAAAGTAATAGCAGCAACCATATTACAGAGATGTGGAGACCAACCTCTACTTCTTGGTTTAGGGGTTCCCTTCAAAATAACATGTATGGCTAGGAGAGGGGTAGGTGTTGGAGTGAAAGCAAGCATTGGGGGTGGCGTACAGAATGAAATCATAAAGTCTCAGGATTGACATGGATCTGAGGCTTAAATCCCCTTTCCAGTATTAGAGTGAACCTTTACTATGTGCCAAACATTAGGTATATTTAGAGTTCAGAAGCAAAGGAGTTGGCTCTGTCTTTAAGGAGTTCATAGTTTTGACCAGACTATCGGTTCAGATGCATTCTTTCAGGAAGGCATTCAGCTACATTCAAATAAAAAACAAAAACGCATTTACAGAGGCTTAACTAAATAGAGTAATTTTCCTCCCAAATGTTAGGTCCAGAGGTGGGCAACTCAGAGCCATTCAGGCTCTGGCTCCAAATATCTTTGTGCTCCACCATCATTAATATATGACTTCCTTCCACAAGCTAGTCACTCATGGGTGCCAGGTAGCAGCTCTACTCCAGCTGCATGCCTCCTGCCAGGAAAGAAAGGAGAGAAAGAACAAAGAGGAGGGTAAGAAAGCTGCCTGAATCAGGAAAATAAAATCTTTCCCAGAAATCTCTAGCAGACATTGATTTCTGTCTCCTGGCCAGAATTGTGTAGTAAGGCCACTCTATCTGCAAAGAATTTTGGGAAGGTAAGTACTTAAGCTAGGCATATTGCCACTCCAAGCAAAAATAGAGACTCTTGTAAGAAAAAAAAAATGGGAGAATGGGGATTGGTTAACAAGCAGCATCTGCCATAGACCAACAAGAACACTGACAATGAAACCATGGTATAATTTGTACATAATACAAATTTCATGCAGAAAAGCACAGAACTCTCTATCTTCAGGTTAGGGGGAGGTGTCATGGAGGGTTTCACTGAGGAGGGTAACATTTGGCTGAGTCTCAAAGAATGAATTAAATTGTCAAAGTACAAAAGAAAAATAGTTGTTCATCAAAATATTTTTATTTGCCACTGGCAGAAATGTAGCTTGAACCCAAAAGTACCAAGGTAAGGTTTCAAGCATTGCTGGCTCCAGTCACCCAATTGATGTCACCAAGACCCAATCTCTCTCTCTCTTTCTCTCCATCCTTTGATTCTATAATAGCCAGCAAGCAGCTCCAGATTTACATTACACCCTATCAGCAGCTTTAGCAGTTCCAATAAAGCTCTGAGTATGCATCTCACTGGAACAACTTGGGATATGTGTCCATCACTCTGACCTATCTCCTTGGACAGGAAAATGAGATATGTTGATTGGACAAGGCTGGGCTCCATGTCCACCTCTGGAATATTATTCAAAACACTTGAACTAAAAGCAAGAAAGAAGGTTCTCCAAAGGAAAACTGTGAGTAAGTAAAGTAGGCAAAAAGTACAAATGTCTCTTACAGAGAACAATTATTTTAGTGATGTTTAGAAGGTGTAATGCACAAGATACAGTTGAACAATTGGCTGATTTTGGTGAGGGGAGGGAAGATTCTGAAATGACACTGGAATTCAGGCTTAGGTACTTAAGTATGATGTTGTCATGAAACAAGCTGATGACTACACAAACAGAACCAGTCAAGGATGGGCAGGTGAAGAGGTTGGAGGCAATAATAATAACGATAAATAATACTAACTATACTCCCTGGCAAACCAAGGGAAAGGAACAGCAGGAAGCAGTTTCCAGTGCTTAAAACAAACCACTGGACTAGAAATATTGATTTTTAAAAATCTTCAGGCCTGGCCAGGTGCGGTGGCTCACACCTGTAATCCCAGCACTTTTGGAGGCCAAGGCAGGAGGATCACCTGAGGTCAGGAGCCTGGTCAACATGGTGAAACCCCCATCTCTACTAAAAAATGCAAAAATTAGCCAGGCATGGTGGCAGGCACCTGTAATCTCAGCTACTCAGGAGACTGAGGCAGGAGAATTGCTTGAACCCAGGAGGTGGAGGTTGCAGTTAGCTGAAATCGTGCCATTGCACTCCAGCCTGGGTGATAAGAGCAAAACTCCGTTAAAAAAAAAAAAAAAAACGCACAAACAAACAAACTTCAGGTCCATCTTTGTTTACATGGGCATTTAAAAATGTATTTATTTTAATGTGCAAAGCACTCTGATTTTAAAAATTTCCCAAATACATCCTATCTCATCTGTCATCTATTATACTTTCAGTTCTCCTTTCTTTTTTCTCTTAGGTAACTAATGTCTTAAAACATCAAAACGAGGGGTTAAATTAGCAACAGTTTGAGATGAACGGTGATTGGAACCTGCAGCCATAATGAAAAATAGCATCTAAATGTTTGAAGCTACATGAAGCCAATAAGCTGTCTCTAAATCCAGTTTAATTAATGTGCAGCCTTTGTCTACTCCAAAGTGTCTGAATAAATCCTCAAAACCAAATTCGTATTTTAAAATACGAGTTGCCCAATATGATGTGAGTTAGCATACAAGCAGATTAAGATGGTGTTTCCATTTTGAATGAATATAATTCAAGATTTACAAATCTTAAACTAGATTTTTCTTACACAAATTTGGTCTTTCTTTTAGCTATAACAGAGAATTAGTGACCTGGTTTCAAAAGAAAAAGGACAATTTTTAAAAATACTTCCTAAATCTCATTAGTTGTATTAATCTCTTAAACTGAAAAAGACTATTTTGAAGCTATCTCTGGAATTAGCACTTCTACAATACTGCCATAACATATTGATATGAATATTACTCAAAATCGATAAGAAATTCCATTTCTATGCATGTTATGAATAACACAGATTATTCTGAAAGAAGAATAACATACGTAATATTATTACATATGTTACAGATACTGTTAGGTGTCTAGCCTACAACCATTTCTCCCTTTTCTCCTTTCTTACAGAACCTTGGCTGAGTACAAGTATATGCTGTCCTTCCGAGGCCTTCTGCAGCAGGGAAGATTGGCCCTGCCCCAATTTCAGAGGATGAATCCTGATTGGTCTAAGATCACCACACTAGTCCTGTTGCCTTCACAGTGACTAGTGAAGCATGTGCTTGTGTGATTTTAGAAGTCAGCTGGGAAGCAACTGGGAAGAATTTCCTTACTCAAAAAGAAGCACAAGAGAGAGGCCATCTAGTATTTCTTAGAGGTTATCTTATCTGCATGTAGCCTGCAATTGCTATAACTACCTTGCCACCTTGAAGTAAGCTAGCCTGAAGATAGCCAATATACTGGATAAAACTTTTGTTTAAAGATTTATCTGCTTAATATTATCTCTTCTGAAAGGTAGCTGTACTCCATAAATCAGATTGTGAATCAGCTTCTTGTTTGATAAGCGAAGATATCAAACATCAAATTGGTTGTTGCAAATCAAATGTTCACATCAATATGTTTTTTGTTCCACATCTAATCAGGAGTGGTGGTAATCTGTCTAGAATAATTTCCAAAGCTGTGTTTAGGTGTGGATTTATTTAATGCATTTGAGAGCACAAAACTTCTCAGGGTAGATATGTAGAACTAATAACATAATTGGAAACTTATTAAGGAGTGACGTTTTATTTAGATATTCTTTAGTCTACAGAAAATGAGTGAATAGAACCACATATTACTAATTTAAAACAATTATCCAGCTAATTTGCTTTTTTGAATAGTGTGAGTTTAAGTTTTGATATTTATTAGTGTAATATCCCTATGGAACCATTTAATCATAGAAGACTAATCTTTCCCTACAACATTCTCTCCTAAATAAGACTTTCCTGAGAAACAAACTAGAATATTTTTATTCTTGAACCGAGGACTCACTTATCTTATCTAGGCTGACTTACTGGATAAGGCCATAGCATCAGTCTATGTGAATCACCCAATTTTCATATTATCCAAAGATACATTCTTTTCAACAGTGCAGCCTCTTCAGCAATCAGTTCCAAAATATGTAGGTCAAAGGGGGAACTGAGTGAGAGGATGCAATGGCTTAATTCCATGTGTAATCACTCACAGAAAAGTCACACACACACACACACACACACACACAGACAAAAATGTCCTCTGACAGTTACTGGCATCATGTTTAGATATGAGATGGTGTGCTTAGAACACGGCTTCAGAAATCAATACATCAACAATTAGCTGGGCATGGGTCATTGTACCTTAAAAAGAATAACAATGGGGTGGCATTGCCCGAGAAGACCAACTGTCTGGTTACCTGACAGGTGGGCATTACCTTCATGACATCACAGAAGTGAAAGGAATGATCCCTGGCTCTATAATTTTTTTTCTGGAGACAGAGTCTCACTTTGTCACCCAGGCTGGAGTGCAGTGGCATAAACATGACTCACTGCAGACTTGACCTCCTGGACTCAAGTGATCCTCCCACCTCAGCCCCCCAAGTAGCTGGGACTACAGGTATGAGCCACCATGCCTGGCTAATTTTTGTATTTTTTGTAGAGACAGGGTTTCACGTGGCTGGCCTGGAACTCCTGGGCTCAAGCAAGCCCCTTCCACCCACTAGTTTTCCAACGTGCTGGGATTACAAGCATGAGCCACTATGCCAGCCTAGATTTAAAAATTTGATCTCCACAGTGCATCAGAGTTATCAAGAAGACTACTTCATGATAAACACACAGGGGACTGATATGTAAATTAGAATGCCATTTATTCATTTAAATAGGAAATATGACTGTGACAAAAGAATGATCATTTTGGCATGTCCCGTGGTCTTAGTTCATTTCTGCTGCTGCAACAAAATACCTTAGACTGGGTAGTTTACAAACAGCAGAAATTTATTGGTCATAGCTCTGGAGGCTAGGCAGACCAAGATCAAGGCACCAGCAGATTCAGCGTCTGCTTTATAGATGGAGCCTCCTTGCTATGTCCTCACATGGCAGAAGAGGGCACACAGGCTCCCTCAAGCCTCTTTTATAAGGGCACTAATCCCATTCATAATCCCCTCCCACAGGCCCCAACTCTTTATAACATCACCTTGGGGAGTTAGGTTTCAATATATGAATTTCAGGGGAAGGGGACAGAAACACTCAAACCACAGCACCTGTACGTGCCTTGTAGGTAGTTAATATTTAAATCAAATTATAACCAGAAGATTGCTTGGTGAGCAGTAAGAAATTTGAATGAATGGATTTATTTTATATGATTCAAATCTTTGATGGCCCTGGATTTTGATAGCCTAATTCAGTCATTTTCAAAATCTATTATTATTTTATCAACAATAGGACATATTTTTAGGATAAAGTCTTACAAAGAACACATATACAGGTATATAGATATAAACATATAGATACCTCGGCCTTCTCTCTCTCTGTTCTGATTGAACTAAGGTAGCCTATTCAGATCCCCACATGCTCAGCAACCCCATATACTGGAGGGAACCAGCAGAGGATGGGGAGAGGAATTCCAGTAATGAGGGAACATATGCAGAGATACAGAAGCATGACAGATGGTGGCACATTCTGGAAACTACAAGTGGTTGGATAAGAATGGAATATAGTATTTGTGAGGGGATGGAGAGAGAGGAGGCGGTAAGAGGTCAGGCTGAAGAAGCAAGCAAGAAAAAAACGATGAAGGAAAGACTTTGTAGACTTTGCTAAATTATTTAGATCTTATATAGAAAGCTATGGAAAGCCTTAAAAGTATGTTCAGGGGGCCATAGCATGATCAAATTTCAGTTTTGGAAATATCACTATGGCTGAAAAATAGAAAATTAGGTTATCAGGAAGGGTACAATATATGCAAGGAATATCGAAGGCCTGAATCCCATGTTCCTATTGCCCCACCCTTACCGCTTTACCCCTAGGACTTCACTGCCATAACCAGTCTTCCAGATGCCAGCACCTGCATTGCATCACCTGAGAGCTATCTCCTACTGCTGGAGCCCACTTTGTTGGCTGTGGCAGGCTTGAAGTGTCAGAGAATGAATGTCCCAGCAACATCTTCTATATCAGTGACAAAGAGACTGGTGTATAACTCTGGAGCATGTGTTAGTCCCAGTTGGGATTAAACTCCAGTGGCCCACGGTGGTAGCCATCTTGACAACAGAACTTTTGGCTATTTGCCCTTCCTTGTCTCACTTCCCCACTCTTCTATCCTTGTGGTTCTCACCTCCCAAATAAATTATTTGCACTCAAACCTTTATCTCAGAATCTGCTTTTAGAGAAATACAAAGACAAGGCTACCATAGCTGAAGGATGATGAGGGCTTGAATTAAGCAAAGAGCGGGAGACAAGGGAAGCAGGCTAGAGATACATTCAAAGGATGTGAAGACTAAATAGAAAAGACATTGGAGAATTCCAGCATAGTGTACAGGTTACTGATTTGGGAGACTAGGAGATGGCAGTGCCATTCACCAAGTAAAGCAACAGAGGAGAAGGAGGATTTGGGGAAAAAAATGATAGGCTCAGACTTGCACAGGCTAAACGTGAAACAAACATGTAGGGATGAGAAGTAGGATGTTGGACATACCAACTAGAGCTCAGAAGACTGGCCTACGCTGGACATACATACTTGGAAAAATGGGTTTTGTCATTTTGTGCTCAGCACATGAATCGTCTTCATATTAGGGGAAAATAAAAGATGAGTAAAGGCAGGGCCCCTTCCTCCCTTGAGAGAAATCAACAGGGGATCAGATTCCCTGTCCCAACTCATTAGCAGGCAGGGCATAATCATGTAACCTGGACTTGACCAATCAGATGCCTCCATCAGAATTTTCATATATTGAGAGAACGAAACACAGAGCCAAAGGGCAGTCTGATTATTCTGGGTGGATATGGCCAAATTGAGAGCCCTGTGTTTCTGGGGCGATGGCAGCAGCAATAATGTTCTCCCTTCTATAGTTCCCAATAGGTCAAACTTTAGGGGAGGGACCAAGAATCCATGCTAGTTTACCATCATATAGGAAATACAAGGCAAACTCTTTTTTTTTTTTTAAAAAAAGGATCAACATTCTATTTCCTAACCTGGGAAGTAGGTTCATGACTATTTTAGTTTTTGTTTGTTTTATATTAAGTATTCCTATGCATTTTAAACACCCTCTTGTATGCATATTTCACAATAAAAAATTTAAAACAGAGAAACATGTTTTTTCAATAGAGGTAACAAAGGAGAAATTATGTTCAAGAGTGAAAAATCCTTTTCGCTATCTGGGATATGCTCTCTGGGATTTGTTTTGAAATAAGGGAGAAAAATGAAGAAGACTCATAAAATGTTGATAATTGCTGAGTGACAGATATGGTGGCCTTTTGGGATAGTCTGTCTAAATTTTTTAATGTTTGAAAATTTCCCTAATTTTAAAGTATCTTGAGTAGGCCAGTGTGATAGGGAGTGGAGGATGAATTAGAAGAGGGAAGACACAGAGGCAGAAAGTGTATCCAGGGATCAGGAAGGAAGATTAATTTAGGGAATAATCCAAGGGAACCCAATGCCTCACACATTAAATATGACCCATATTAGTTGATTGACCTTAATTCAGAAAACTGGCAACTGACTGGAAACAGGACTAAACTTTGTTTAATCAGAAAACTAAAGCCTTGGAAATATCTGAAGATTTGAGTCACCAATAGCCCCCAGATTCTTTCTTTTCTGGTAATTCAGATGCCTCAGATCTCAGATTCCCCACTCACCTGTATGCCACTAACAGCTCACATTTTGCTTTGGTAAACTATGAACATTTTCTTCTCCTTGGTAGCAATTATCATTCTTGATATTAGTAATTACACTTTTCTGCTCCTAAGGCTGAGAAAAGCATTTCCCCCAAGTAAATTCCCAGTCTTGTCATTAATCTTGGATGGCCAGGATTTTAAGGTGCCACTTTATTACCTTGCTCCTCAAGCTTTACAGAACCATCTCCACCCCCACTCCTACCCACATCCCTAAGAAGAGGAACATGGAATATGTTTCCAAAGGGCTGTCTGGAGAGGATTTGAGTGACACTATCCTGGGCCACTAAAAAGAGCCAGCTCCCAAGGAGGGAATGAAGTCTCTGCTTTTCCAGGGTTTCCTTCCCTTCTATTCAGTCTGAAAAGTCTGGGACACACTGCATTATACAGCTTTATTCACCATTTTATCCCAGCATCCTATCGGGAATTTGATCAAAAAAGAATCCCAGAATATAAACCAGCCACACCTGCAAATTTTATTACAAGCTTGTTGTTTGTTTGTTTGATTCAGATGGGGGAAGAATGGTGGAAAATTAAGAGCTACGGGAAGATTGTCCTCACAGCTCAGCTCCTCTGCTGTGGGCTTCTTTCCAGTTGGTGCAACAGGAGATCTGGGGCCTGTGTTTGCTTTTCTTGGCATTCACAGAGGTGGTGTCTGTAGCTGAAGACACTGGGGTTGTTGCCAGAAGCCCTGCTGGAGCTGGGACTGTGTGCGTCCAGGTTCCAAGATCTCATCTGCTCACAGCGATGGGGAACATTTTGATCTTGGCAAAAGCTCTCATGCCGGCACTCCATGTCCACTCGATTCTTTTCCCTACTTTTCTGACCCCAAGCAGAGAGCAGAGTGACCTCTGGACACATGCAGCTGGGCAGCACCACTGTCTCCGGAATTCCTCATATCTCCCTGGGGAACTTGAAACAGTGGACGCAAACATGAATACAGACTGCTAGTGACCTGGTAGCACGTTCACAACAGGCCCCGTGAGAAGAGAAGAGCAAGCCTTCCTTCCCCAGTGGCTGGTTCCACTGTCATGCCTGCTTCAGACACCAGGGAAGTAAATGTTTCAGCCATGTAAAATTAGCACAGTCTGAACACAGTTAGAAAACCAAATGCATTCTCTGTAAGTGGGAGATGTGACCCCCTTCTTTA
Source organism: Homo sapiens (assembly GCF_000001405.40). Lineage (NCBI taxonomy): Eukaryota > Metazoa > Chordata > Mammalia > Primates > Hominidae > Homo > Homo sapiens. The sequence continues at coordinate 169,700,130 of NC_000003.12, forward strand.
GGCTGTTGCTAATCATTAACATCAGGGTGGGTGTTCTCGAACAGTGCCTGAGCCAGGCCCCAGCTATCATTTCGAGCCCTTTGGAACTGCGGATGTGTCGGCCTATAAAGTCTTCCAAAACTCAGGTCCTCATTTATCACTCCACCCTTGACCTCCTATTTGTGAGACCCTCCAGCCCATTTCCCGCAACTGTTACCTCATTCCTCCACATCCCAGCAGCACCTCACACGCTCTCACATCCATGCACTTCAGTTCCACCCTCCCCTATATGCAAAGGAAGCAATCAGCTCCTCCTCCACTTCTGAACCGGTGTTTCTCAACTTCCAATCCACAGACAGGAGAGGCAAAATCAAACCACCATACCACAGGTTCTCTGTTATAAGTGAGAGCTAAAGAATGGGTACACATGGACATATAGAGAGAAATAATAGACACAGGGGACTTCTAAAGCGGGGAGGGTGGCAGGGAGATGAGGTTTGAAAAATTGCCTATTGGGTACACTGTTTACTAATTCAGGTGAATGGCACACTAGAAGCTCAGACTTCATTCACCATTACACAACATATCCATGTAACAAATCTGCCTATGTACCTCTCAAAACTATACCGATTTTAAAAGTTTTTAAACCAAACTACTATAATAAATTCATTCCCCCACCCATTTCCTCCACCACACAACAGCATTTCCAGCTCTTCTTTCCCAAACTTTTAAACTTTATCTGGATACAAAATAGAGAGTTTAGAGGTTTTGGTTAATGATGTGGTTTTAGTTGAGAAACAGTCTTCATTTATGTGATATAATTTTTAAAGTAATATTTATTGAGCTTTAATATGTACTAGGTACCTGATGAAGTATTATCCTATTCAATCTTTACAACCACCTTTCTGCAGATAAAGAAATCGTCCAGAGAGATTAATTTGCCAAAGGTGATACAACTATAAAATGGTAGAGCTAGAATTTAAACTTAAGGCAAATTAAGTTCTGAAAACAATCCGGAGCCTAGAGTCCATGCTTTTAATCACACTATATATCATTTCCCAATCCCTAACAGCACCCCTCTTTTAAAATTTCTTGCCCTCTTTTTGTACTGCCCCTTGCCAAGATCATGATTCCCTACCAACTTCAAGGAAAGTTTGCCATATTACTCCATGATGCTAACCAAAACCTACCCCTCCATCTTTTTCTCTGCTATCACCCTAGGGCTCTACCCAGGTTAATTACTCTGAGAACTCTTTAATACCCTTGTATCAGTCAGGATGCTTTTGGCTACAAGAATCTAAACTCCCAACTTAGGCTAACTTCACTGATAAGGACATTTAGTTTACATAACAGGAATTGTTAAGGATAAATCAGAATTCGTGGCTACATGACTGAGCAGCTCCACAATGCCATCAACAATTCAAGGATCAAGGTTGTTGCTGTCTCCCTGCTCTGTAAACTTAATCCTACAGCTGGTTCCCCTCAAGAGTTGAGGGCGGCTGCCAGAAGCAACTTGCTCCACGTTCTTCCTTGCTATTGTGCCTGAGTGGTAAGGGGTCGGGGGGACTCTCCTCCAACTATGTCTGATTGGACCATATGCCCAACCCTGCCAGTAACAGGGGAATGTACAACATGATGGATTTAATCCCAAATTCCTGAGCAGTTATCTGACAGCCTGTAGCTGCCAGCTCCTTCAGAGACTGCCTCAGCAAAGAGCATAAACTTTTCATGTAGCATCAAGCCAATGATTAAGCAAGATGGTGGTTCTAGGGCCCAGCCATTTCCACCCAGTGCAAGACTCCTCTAGTTGGCATTCATTGCCCTGGAGCTCCTAACTGGAAAGGCAAAGAGTTTGTCAGATCTGCCTCATGGTCTGTTGGCTCTTCCTGTGCAATCCTTCTTCCTCCTCTTTTCCTTTCACTGGTGTTACTCCTTAATAAGCCTTTGGGACTCCATCTCAGTACCCCCTCCCCAGAGAACCCAACCTACAGCAGTACCCTGCTAGCTAACTATGACTCCATCTTCACCTTCTGTCTCTATTCCACCCACATATCTTATACCTCCAGAAAATCTGTCCTACACCATCTACATTCCACCCCTCCTTCTAAAACTGCTTTTCATCTGCCTTAGGACCTTCAGTCCTTTAACCCATCCCCATTCTTAGTCCACCAGCCACCATCTATGTTCCCTTGCATCATGCCTTTGCCTGGACTGAATCTTTACCACAACTTTGCTATCACCTAGTTTCTCCCCTCCCAACCCTTAGACCAATCCCCAGCCCTGGGAAAGCTATAGTAAAGCATCCTTTCTCCCCTCCTAGGTCTACTGAAAGAAAACCTGAAAACTGGGTTTAATGGCTTAATGAAAAATCCATGCGATCTAACTTTAATTGGACCCTCAGGATGGCTAAGTAATCATTTTACTAATCTCTGTAGACTTCCACTGCATTGATGCCAAATGTTTTCTCTCTTCACTTCCTAATGTCCCTTCCTCCTAATTTCTCCTCATACTCTGAGGAGGGATTGTTAACCTCCTTCTTTTTCTGTTGATCAAGTATGTAGTCTATTGCCTTTACTTATCCAGATCCATCACACCTCTCTTTCCCTTGGAGAAATGGCCAGCCATGGGCATGTGAATCAAGCCAGACCAACAAAACCCTTGTCAAAACTATTAAGGGAGAAAACTTTTGCTTGTTTGTTTTGGAGATTGCTAATCTGTAAAGAAAAAAGTCTGGTGCTATAAGCCCCCATATTGTTCCAGAAGGGAAGAGCCTTTCTAAGAAAAAGCCAGAGGAAAGCAGATCAGGCCCTGATGGCATCCTACTGCTTCCAGATCCACCTGTCTTAAAGCTGTCACCCCATGAGACTTCAATTACGTGTTCCAACAAATTCTCTTTATGTGTCTGTACTTTCAGCCAAGGGTTGATATATAAACTCCTTTCAGTCTCCAAATTTGTCTCTATCTTTACCTATTCTGACACATTCTCACAGGCCTCTGACAGAGGTATTGTTCTTGTTTGTATAGTTTTCCTCCTGTGCATTTTTCTTTTGGACTTTGTTTGATCACATTGTTTTCTCCAATGTCTTCTTCCTCATTGCCCGTATTCACGATTGGTATTGGCTGAATAAATGTTACCAAGCTATTTCAAAAGTGGGTCTTTAATGAAACTAGACAGAACACACAGAACACATTTCTGAAGGTGTAAGAATGTGGCTCTTTGACAGTGACTTTATTTGCAGGTGAGCGAGGTGGAGTCATTCCAGAGGACGGAAGGAGAACTTTGACACAATTTCTATCCTTATATGTTCCTCAAAAGGATGCTAAGATCTCACCTCCTCACTCACTTCACCTCCATTTGGCAGTCAGTACGCCCTTGAAGAATTGCCTTGTGGCACACAAAGGTGAGAAGAATATGTGCTGTACTGTTACGTGTAAGAGATTCTGCAGAGTTGAGGGGACTTAGGAGGAGGGAGCAGACTGGTGCATATCAGCAGCCCTTAGCTGCCCTCAGAAACTTTTCAATGCCCAGTAGGGTTTGGTTGTTGTTGTTTTCATTTTCTTTTTCATTTAATTTTAAGTAGATAATATATTTACATGATTTAAAATTCAAATCTATATAAAAAGATATACAGAGAAATTTCAGTCCCCGGCCCCTCCACATTTTCCATCAAGTTTTCTGAAGTTTTCAGTTTATGCCTCTGTGTTAGTTTCTATTGCTGCATAACAAATTGTAACAAACTTAGTGGCTTTAAACATATTTATTATCTCATAGTTGCTGAAGGTCAGAAGTCTGAGCAGGATGTTCATAGGTTTTCTGTTCAAGTCCTCACAAAGCCAAAATCAAGATATCAGCCAGGACTGCAGTCTTTCTAGAGCTCAGGGTCTTCTTCCAGGCTATTCAGTTCCCTATAGCTGTAGGATTGAGGTCCTTGTTTCCTTGCTGGCTGTTGACTTGGAGTTGCCCTTAGGTCTGAGATGCCATCCTCAGCCTCTAGCCACATGGTCCCCTTCACATGCAGTTAACAACATGTCTGTTTTCTTTCCTCTAGGCCGATGAAGAGCATCATATTGACTGGTCCCATGTAAACTCAAGGAGAAGGGGATGATACAAGGCATATATATAGTTGGTGGACAGAATATTGGGAGTCATCCTAAAATTCTGCCTACCACAGCTTCCATTGTTGTTCAGCTTATTAAAAATAAAAGCAAAGCAAAAATACACACACACACATACATGCACATTTCCCCATTAAACAACAGTGGCATATAATATATACCTTACTCCATATTGTTTTTTGCACTTAATAGTATATCTGGAGTCCATTTTTTAGCAGTATATATCATCTTCATTTTTTTGTAGTAGTTCAGTTCTTTATTAAAGTATACTATATTTATTCAACCATATTTATATACCATATGCCATAAGATAACACCATATTTATTCAAATATTTTCTAACTCTTAGTCATTTTGATTTTTTCCTATATTCTCTTTGCTATTACAGATAGTGCTGTAATGAATAGTTTGCATAGCCTTTTTTTTCCCCGGGTCAAAGAAATGTGCTAGATGTTGTCAAATTCCCCTATATCAAGTTGACACCATTTTGCTTTCCCTCCTTCAAGATACCTGGTACGGTTTTTATTTGTGATTTTCCTTTTGTGAGTGAGGTTAAGCAACTTAAAGGGGGAATTTTTATTCATTTTTCTGTGAACTGTCTGTTCATGTTCTTTGCTATTCTTCTATTGGGTTGTTGGGCTTCTCACAGTTTCTAGAGGCTCTCAAGTAGTTTAATCATTTTCCTGTGATATGGCAAGTATTTTTCCCAGTTTGTCACTGTCTTTTGACTTATGTTGTTTTGCTATGGAAGAAACTTTCTTATATGTTGTTGAATGTGTCAGTCTTTCATTTCAGGGCTTCTGAATTTTGAATCAGAGACAGAAAGGCTTTGCCCAATCAATAAACATAATCCAACATATAAACAGAACCAAAGACAAAAACCACAAGGTTATCTCAATAGATGCAGAAAAGGCCTTCGACAAAATTCAACAGCCCTTCATGCTAAAACCTCTCAATAAATTAGGTATTGATGGGACATATCTCAAAATAATAAGAGCTATTTATGACAAACCCACAGCCAATATCATACTGAATGGGCAAAAACTGGAAGCATACCCTTTGAAAACTGGCACAAGACAGGGATGCCCTCTCTCACCACTCCTATTCAACATAGTGTTGGAAGTTCTGGCCAGGGCAATCAGGCAGGAGAAAGAAATAAAGGGTATTCAATTAGGAAAAGAGGAACACAAATTGTCCCTGTTTGCAGATGACATGATTGTATATTTAGAAAAACCCCATTGCCTCAGCCCAAAATCTCCTTAAGCTAATAAGCAACTTCAGCAAAGTCTCAGGATACAAAATCAATGTGCAAAAATCACAAGCATTCTTATACACCAATAACAGACAAACAGAGAGCCAAATCATGAGTGAAGTCCCATTCACAATTGCTTCAAAGAGAATAAAATACCTAGGAATCCAACTTACAAGGGATGTGAAGGGCCGCTTCAAGGAGAACTACAAACCACTGCTCAATGAAATAAAAGAGGATACAAACAAATGGAAGAACATTGCATGCTCATGGATAGGAAGAATCAATATCGTGAAAATGGCCATACTGCCCAAGGTAATTTATAGATTTAATGCCATCCCCATCAAGCTACCAATGACTTTCTTCACAGAATTGGAAAAAACTATTTTAAAGTTCATATGGAACCAAAAAAGAGCCCGCATTGCCAAGTCAATCCTAAGCCAAAAGAACAAAGCTGGAGGCATCACTCTACCTGACTTCAAACTAAACTACAAGGCTACAGTAAACAAAACAGCATGGTACTTGTACCAAAACAGAGATATAGACCAATGGAACAGAACAGAGCCCTCAGAAATAATACCACACATCTACAACCATCTGATCTTTGACAAACCTGACAAAAACAAGAAATGGGGAAAGGATTCCCTATTTAATAAATGGTGCTGGGAAAACTGGCTAGCCATATGTAGAAGCTGAAACTGGATCCCTTCCTTACACCTTATACAAAAATTAATTCAAGATGGATTGAAGACTGAAATGTTAGTCCTAAAACCATAAAAACCCAAGAAGAAAACCCAGGCAATACCATTCAGGACATAGGCATGGGCAAGGACTTCATGTCTAAAACACCAAAAGCAATGGCAACAAAAGACAAAATTGACAAATGGGATCTAATTAAACTAAAGAGCTTCTGCACAGCAAAAGAAACTACCATCAGAGTGAACAGGCAACCTACAGAATGGGAGAAAAATTTTGCAATCTACTCATCTGACAAAGGGCTAATATCAAGAATCTACAAAGAACTCAAACAAGTTTACAAGAAAAAAACAAACAACCCCACCAAAAAGTGGGTGAAGGATATGAACAGACACTTTTCAAAAGAAGACATTTATGCAGCCAACAGATACATGAAAAAATGCTCATCATCACTGGCCATCAGAGAAATGCAAATCAAAACCACAATGAGATACCATCTCACACCAGTTAGAATGGCGATCATTAAAAAGTCAGGAAACAACAGGTGCTGGAGAGGATGTGGAGAAATAGGAACACTTTTACACTGTTGGTGGGACGGTAAACTAGTTCAACCATTGTGGAAGACAGTGTGGCAATTCCTCAAGGATCTAGAACTAGAAATCCCATTTGACCCAGCCATCCCATTACTGGGTATATACCCAAAGGATTATAAATCATGCTGCTATAAAGACACATGCACACATATGTTTACTGCGGCACTATTCACAATAGCAAAGACTTGGAACCAACCCAAATGTCCATCAATGATAGACTGGATTAAGAAAATGTGGCATATATACACCATGGAATACTATGCAGCCATAAAAAAGGATGAGTTCATGTCCTTTGCAGGGACTCGAATGAAGTTGGAAACCATCATTCTCAGCAAACTATCGCAGGGACAAAAAACCAAATACCGCATTTCTCACTCATAGGTGGGAATTGAACAACGAGAACACTTGGACACAGGAAGAGGAACATCACACACCGGGGCCTGTCGTGGGGTTGAGGGGAGGAGGGAGGGATAGCATCAGGAGATATACCTAATGTAAATGACGAATTAATGGGTGCAGCACACCAACATGGCACATGTATACATATGTAACAAACCGGCACGTTGTGCACATGTACCCTAGAACTTGAAGTATAATAAAATAATAATAATAATAAAATTAAAAAAAGAAAGGCTTTGCCCACTTAATGTTTATAAAGGAACCCACTATGTTTTTTTCTTGTACTGCATAGTTTTATTTTTTATACTTAAATATCTAATCTACTTGAAGTTTGTTCTATTATCTTGTTTAAGGCATTAATCCAATGTAATCTTTTTCAAATGTCTTCCCAATCAATTGTTCAATCATCAGGAAAACTGAGGAACAAAAGTCACCAGAAACCAACATCAAAGAAAAAAAAGCTATTCTTCAGTAGTTTAAGGAGGTGCAGACTTTCTCAAGACTGTGATAAAGGGAAGTAACACTGCTTAATTATCTGACCAGGTATGCAATGCCAAGTGCCAGACAATTTTATTGAGCTGAACTTGAAGAACATTTAAACCATGTAAACTACAGAGAGAATATGGAGAAAAACCACTGATTTCAGAGCAAGAACATGTATACTTTCTATGCTTGAGTTGATAAAGTTTCCCCTCATCCACAAATGCTACAAAACTAAAATCTTAGTCTTCTCTTATTTTTTTCTTTTCAAGTTCAAACCTTTATTAATGTTCTTAAGGTACTCTAATTTTTTAAAAAATTTACAAACAGTAAAATTCACTCTTTAGGGTATACAGTTTATAAGCTTCAAAAATGCATAGAATTATGTAACCATTTCCATAATCAAGAAACAGAACAGTCTCATAATCTCCAAAAAATTCTCTCAAGCTACTCCTCCCCAAACCAGAATACCCAGAAAACCTGGCAACCATTGATCTGTTCTTCATCCCTACAGTTTTTCCTTTTCTAAACATTATATGTCATATAAATGGAATCCTACTGCTACAGTATGAATGTTTGTGTCCTCCCAAAATTCATATGTTGAAACCTAATCCCCAATGTTGTAGTATTAAGAGATGGGGACTTAAGGGAGGTGACTAAGTCATGACAGTGGAGCCCTTGTGAATGAGATTAGTGTCCTTATAAAAAAGGCCTAAGAGAGATTGTTTGCCCCTTCCATTGTATGAAGACATATAGAAGGTGCCATCTATGAGGAACAGGCTCTTACCAGACACAAAATCTGTTGACACCTTGATCTTGGACTTCCCAGCCTCCAGAACTGTAAGCAATAAATTTCTGTTGTTTATAAATTACCCAGTTTAAGGTATTACATTATAGCCACCCAAATGGGCCAAGACACCTACTTTATGTAACCTTTTTAGTTTGGCTTCTTTCACTCAGCATAATGCACCTGAGATTCATCCATGTTGTTATGTGTAGAAATAATCTGTTCTTTTTATTGCTAAGCAGTACTCCATGAGATGGATGTACTACCATTTGTACCAAAGGTTATTTGGAATATTTCCAGTTTTCAGTGATTATAAACACTTGCACACAGATTTTCAGCATACAGATCCTGCCTGTATTTTGTTAAATATATACCAAAACATTTCTTTCTTCAGGGAGACGGTGCTATAGTAAATGGTACTGTTTTCTCACTGCTAGTATAGAAGATTTTTTTTCTGTATTCTGTTAACTTGCTAAACTCACTTATTATTTCTAGAAGCTTTTGTAGATGCCTTAAAGTTTTGTATGTAGACAATCATATCATCTGCAAAAGTGATCATTTTATTTGTTCCTTATCTATCCACAGATGCTCTTCGACTTACAGTAGCATTATGTCCCAATAGATCCATTGAAATTGAAAATACTGTAAGACAAAAATGCATTTAATACACCTAACCTACTGAAGATCATAGCTTAGCCTAGCCTACCTTAAATGTGCTCAGAACACTTACATTAGCCTACAGTTGGGCAAAATCATCTAAAACAAAGCCCATTTTACAATAAAGTGTTGAATAGCTCAAGTCATTTGTTAAATACCATACATTATGCCAAAATGGAGATAATGGGACCTTGAGCCCTCAGGAACGAGATGGCGGTTCTCCGGAGGCTGAGTGCCCTTTACGGTGCCCAAGGAGGCCGAGCTCTGTTGCTGCGAACCCCAGTGATCAGACCTGCTCATATCTCAGCATTTCTTCAGGACCGACCTATCCCAGAATGGTGTGGAGTGCAGCACTTACACTTGTCACCGAGCCACCATCCTGGCTCCAAGGCTGCGTCTCTCCACTGGACTAGCGAGAGGGTTGTCAGTGTTTTGCTCCTGGGTCTGCTTCCGGCTGCTTATTTGAATCCTTGCTCTGCGATGGACTATTCCCTGGCTGCAACCCTCACTCTTCCTGGTCACTGGGGCCTTAGACAAGTTGTTACTATGTTCATGGGGATGCCTCGCAGAAAGCTACCAAGGCAGGGCTTTTGGCACTTTCAGCTTTAACCTTTACTGGGCTTTGCTATTTCAACTATCACGATGTGGGCATCTGCAAAGCTGTTGCCATGCTGTGGAAGCTCTGACCTTTTTTACTTCATACTTTGAAGAATTGATGTATGCCTCTTTGCCTCTGCTTTGTCATGCCATTAAGCCCACAATAACGAAGAAATAACAGGTAAGTCCATTGGTGGATAGCCTTCTTCTCTTAATCACAAGATTATTTTCAGAACTTAGTCTTTGAGGAAAACGTTTGAGAGGAGTTACATCTAAGTTGTGAGACTGAGTTCTGTATTCTGGTGAGTTAACGGGGTTGCCTCCCAGCTTCTTATAAGACTCACAGTATAACTAAACATGATATATGAGCTTTTGCCTTTTAATTTATCAATCTCTTAAAGAGAATCCAGCTTTATTACTATTAGTATATGATCAAACTTCCATATTTGCCCTGGGAATAATGGACAAAGGGAAATACTCTTAATTCATGAATAAAAACTTTGCAGAAAATTAGACGGTGTTTAATTTTTGAAAACTTCCCTCTGTAGTCAGTAGATACCACCTACTGATGGCTACATATACTAGGGAAATTTTAAAATTAGGAAATGCTGTTATCTCACATTATAAATTTCTAAATCCTAGGAAGAAATGCTTGGAATACTTCTGAATATAGAGAAGTTCCATTTAAGGGCAAGTTTCCCCTTGTATACATATCAAAATATTACCAATTGTAAACTGAGATTTAATTCTCAAATGTGTTCTACTTGTTCTAAAACAATCTGTCCACAGATATAAAACTATAAGTAATAAATTGTTATTTTCGCACAATGGGAATCTCTAATGTGAAAATGTATTCTATGAAAATAATTTGTTTAAATAAAGCGTTGTATAATAAAAAATGGAGATAATGGGTTTCATACCATTGTAAAGTAGAAAAATTATAGATCAAACCACCATAAATCAGGGATATCTGTATATGCCTTCTATTTATTTTTCTTGCCTTATTGCATTGAAAAAAAACCTTCCCGTATGACACTGAATAGGAGTAATGAGAGTGGATATCTTTGTCTTGTTCCCAATATTAGGCAAACATTCTTTCACCATGAAGTGGATGTTAACTGCAGATTTTCTTGAAGATGCCTTTTGTTAGGTTAAGGAATTACCATCTGTTCTTTGGTGACTGAGAGTTTTCATCATGAATGGATGTTGAATTTTATCCAATGATTCATCTTCATCTATTTATTTGATCATACGGTTTTTCTTCTTTAAGTTGTTTATATGATGAATCACATTGACTTTTGAATGTTGAATCTACCTTGCATTCATAATATAACCTGGTCATGTTATATTACCCTAATTATGTATTGCTGGATTAGATATTGCTTATATTTTATTGATGATCTTGCATCTGTGTTCATGAGGAATGTTGATCTATAGGTTTCTTTACTCATAATGTCTCCGTCTGGTTTTATAATAGGGTAATATTGGCCTCATAGAATAAGTTGGAAAGAATGTCATGCTCTTCTATTTTCTAGAAGAGATTGTAAAGAATTGTTTTCTTTCTTAAATGTTTGGTAGAATTCACCAGTGAAACAATCTGGGCCTAAAATATTTTCTTTTCTTTTTTTTTTTTTTTTTCCTGAGGCAAGATCTGGCTCTATCACCCAGTCTGGAGTGCAGTGGCACAATCTCAGCTCACTTCAACCTCTGCCTGTCCAGCTCAAGCCATCCTCCCACCTCAGCCTCCCAACCAAGTAGCTGGGACTACAGGCACCCACCACCATCCCTGGCTAATTTTTGTATATTTTGTAGAGACAGGGTTTACCATGTTGCCCAGGCTGGTCTTGAACTTGATCCACCTGCCTTAGTCCCCCCAAAGTTTTGGGATTACAGGAATGAGCCACCACACCCAGCCAAATTTTTTTTCTTTGAAAGGTCTTTTTAATACAAATTCAATTTCAATTTCTTTAAAAGATAAGGGACTATTCGTGTTATCTATTTCTTCTTGAAGGAATTTTGGTAATTTGTGTCTTCTGAGTATGTCATTTAATCTAAGTTGTTGAATTTACAGACTTGGAGTTGTTGATAATCCTCCCTTATTATTCTTTTAATATCAGTGGAACCTATAGGTGACATTTCCTCTTTCATTCTAATGTTAGCCTATAGTTAGGCAAAATTAGCCTGCAGTCAAGTAATTTATGTCTTCTCTAAGGTTTTTCCTGGTCACTTTATGTTAAGAACTGTGAAGGGTTGGAGATTTTACCCTACTTGCAAACTAAGAAATTAGGCTGCCAGTTTTGTAGATTCTGGTGGAAGACACATGACTCCTAAGTCAGAGACAAAGTTTAGTTTAGTGCTTACAGCAGTAGCAGCAGCCAGCCAGCGTGTCAAGATTTTTGCACCAGTTCCCTGGGCACACATTCCCACAGGTCAACACAAAGAGGTCTAGATGATACCTGAAACTGCAGTGGCTTGTACTGCAGGAAAGGAACACTAAACTTAGAGCACCAGAATCTTTTATATTGAGAGTAAGCTTTCCTTGCTCCAGAGTGAGACACTATCTCCATCTTCCAGGGATGTTTATAGACATTATTGGGGGGAAAAATAGTCCAGAACAAAGGGTAGTCAGTGTCTTACTCAAAAAACATGTAGAAAAGTGAGAGATCCATAAAGAGTTGTTTCCCAACACTCTGGTTAGAAATTGATTGATTATATTGATCATTTCAAAGAACCAGCTTTCATTTGATTGCTATTCACTGATTTTCTCTATTTTTATGTTTACAATTTCATTGATTTCTGCTCTTAATTTTATTCTTTTCTTCCTTCTGTTTAATGTGGGTTTAGTTTATTCTCCTTTTTCTAGTTTCTTAAAGCAGAGGCTTAGATTATTTATTTGACATCTTTTTTCTTTTCTGATGAAAGCATTTAATGCTATAAATTTTATTCAGTACTATTTCAGCTACATGCCACAAATTTTTGATGTTTTATTTTTATTTTAATTCAGTTCAAAATATGGCCTAATTTCTATTAAGACTTTTTCTGTAACCACTGGGTTTTTTAAAAATGTGTTGATTAATTTTCAAATATTCATCAATTTTCCAGAAAGCTTTGTTATTGATTCCAAGTTTAATTCTGTTGTGATTGAAACGCTTTTTTAAAACTGTTATAGTTTCAATTATTTTAAGGTTACTATTATTTATATCCCAGAATATAGTCTATCTTGGTAAATGTTCCATGTAAACCTGGAAAGAATGTGTATTCTGCTATTGTTGGGTGGAGCATAAATGTCAATTCAGTGCTCAATTTAGCAGCATATATATTAAAATTGGAATGATATAAATGTCAATTCAGTCACGTTGGTTGAGAACATTGCTCAAGTCTTCTGTATCCTTGCTCATTTTTTTCTACTTCTGTCAATTCTGAGAGAAAAATTTTTAAGTCTTCAAATATAATTGTGGCTTTGTCTATTTCTTTTCTGTTCTATCAGTTTCTGATTCATGTATTTTGATGCTCTGTCGTTAGACGTATACACATTTGGGATTGTTATGACTTCTTAGTCGTAGAAGAATTAGTGAATTGCTTATTTTTTCATTATATAAGTGCCCCTCTCTTTAACTCTGACACTTTTCCTTGCTTTGAAGTCCATTTTGGTGTTAATATGGTCCCTGTCATTTGTTTGGAATAATGCTTGCATGGTATATTTCTTCTATCCTTTCATTTTTTTTTTTTTTTTTTTTTTTTTTTTTTTTTTTTTTTTTTTTTTTGAGACAGAGTCTTGCTCTGTCGCCCAGGCTAGAGTGCAGTGGCGTGATCTCGGCTCACTGCAACCTCCGCCTCCCAGGTTCATGCCATTCTCCTGCCTCAGCCTCCCGAGTAGCTGGGACTACAAGCGCCTGCTACCATGCCTGGCTAATTTTTTGTATTTTTAGTAGAGACAGGGTTTCACCGTGTTAGCCAGGACGGTCTCGATCTCCTGACCTCGTGATCCGCCCACCTTGGCCTTCCAAAGTGCTGGGATTACAGGTGTGAGCCACCGCGCCCGGCCTATCCTTTCACTTTTAACCTATTTATGTCACTGTCTATAAAATAGATATCTTGTATTCAATATATAGCCAGGTCTCTTTTTTATCCAATCTGAAAATTTCTTTTTTTAATTAGTGTCTTTAGGCCATTTACCTTTAATGTAATTATGGATGTGGTTGGATTTGAATTTGCCACTTTATTACTTGTTTTCTATTTATCCCTTCTGTCTTACATTAGTCTGTTTTTCCTTTCTCATATATTTCCTGATTATTTGGATATTTATACTCTCTCGTTTTAATATACCTATTGGCATTTTTTGCTATATCTCCTTTTATTCTTTTTAGTGGATGCTCTATGGACAATATACCTACACAACCTTTAGTTGTCCATTTAGTGTTAATATTAGCACTTCGAGTAAAAGGTATTAGACGTAAGCAGGAGAAACAAAAATCTCTTTAGCCTTCCCTTCTTTTAAGTTGTAGTTGCCATTTATAGTGTAACATTGAAACCTCCACTAATCGTACAATTTTTGCTTTCAATAATCATACATATAGATATATTTTTTAGAGACAGGATCTTGCTATTGCCCAGGCTGACCTTGAACTCCTGAGCTCAAGCAATCTTCACACCTCAGCCTCCTAAGTAGCTGGGATTAAAGGCTCATGCCACTGCACGCGGTAGTCATGCATTTTAAAGAACTTACTAGGAAAAAATATTCTTTTACATTTACCTAAACACGAGTTAGTTCTCCCTTTATTCTTAATGTTCTAACTTTATCTCTCTTATGATTTCCTTTCAGCTTGAAGAATTTCTTTTAGCATTTCTTTTAGAGCAGAAAATGTCTGATAGCAATGAATTTTCTTAGTTTTTTTTCCCTCTGAGGTTATCTTTATTTCTCCATAATTCCTGAAATATATTTTCACTGATTGCAGAATTCTGGATTAATAGCTCTTTTCTTTAAGAACTTTAAAGATGTTGTTCCATTGTCTTCTAAGCTATGTAGGATTTTTAAAGATCTTTAAGAACTCTTTTTCTTTTGTCTCCCTCTTTTGGTTTTTATAAGTTTGATTATATCTGTCTGATGTGATTTTCTTTGACTTTATAAGATAACCTTACGTGTTTCACCAAATTGGAACGTTTTCAGCCATTATTTTTTCAAATAATTTTTCTTCACCAATTTTTTTTTCCTCCTGGGACTGCAATTACACAAACGTTTTATCTCAAAATACTGTCCCACAAGTTTCTGATGATCCGTTTGTTTTTAACAAATATTTTTCTCTCAGTTCTTTACTTCGGATGATTTCTATTGAACAATGTTCAAATTCACTGACTTTTCTTCACCATCTCATTTCTGCTACTGAGCCCATCCAGTGAATTTTTTTTTATTTCACACATTATCTTTTTTAGTTCTAAAATTTTCATTTGGCTCTTTTGATTATAATTATATTTATCTACTGAAAACTCATTTTCAAAATTTCATTTATTTCAAATGTGTTCACTATTGCTTCATTAAGTTTGGTTATAATAGCTGTTTTAAAGTCTGTCTAATAATTCCAACCCCTGGATAATCTTAGGGTTAGTATCTGTTGATTGTCTTTTCGCTTGAGGATTAGTCATGTTTTCCTGCCTTTTCATATGTTGAGCAGTTTTAGATTCTATCTCAGACATTTTTAATACATTTTATACTATGAAACTCGTAGTCTTATTAAAATTCTTTGGAGAATGTTGACTTTTTGTTATTGTTTTAGCAGGCAAACAGTATGGCCGGGTTCAGACTATAAATTGTCCTTCCTTCTTTGGTCAATTAGTTTAAATGTTAGTTGTTTTCAAATCTTTTGCCATGCTTCTTTGGGTCTACACTACACACGTGCCTCTCAGAGGTTAGTCTCTGAATTGAGTGATTTATGTCATAGATCACTCCTCAATACCTTTGTTATCCAGCTTTGGACCTGTTTTATGCCTTTAAAGCTCAATCTTGCAACATAAGATTCCAACATGACACTTCCTTCCCATCAAGTCTAACGAATTATATGGATGTTATAATACAGTCAAAAGACATGTTTTTCCATCACTGTTCCTTTGTGGCATTTGTTGTCACCTTCCTGTCATGTCAGCTTAAGTGATTTCTATTTAAATCACAGAACTCCGAAAAATGATTTTCTTCTTTCCATTGTCAAAAGAATTATTAAAGTTGTGTTTGTCTTTAATACCGAAAAAAAGCCAATACAGGTGAAGGACACTCTTCACCATTAGGTGACTTTAACCCAATTTCCGTCTTAGTCTCAATGGATCTCTCTTGTTCAGAGAGCTTTCTTGCCTTTCCATCTCTTCCAAGGATAATAAATGGATTTATGCATGAAGGGCTGTTGAATTTTGTAGAGGGTCTTTTCTGCATCTATTGAGATAATCACGTGGTTTCTGTCTTTGGTTCTGTTATATGATGGATTACGTTTATTGATTTGTGTATGTTGAACCAGCCTTGCATCGCAGAGATGAAGCCAACTTGATCTTGGTGGATAAGCTTTTTGATGTGCTGCTGGATTCGGTTTGCCAGTATTTTATTGAGGATTTTTGCATCGATGTTCATCAGGGATATTGGTCTAAAATTCTCTTTTTTTGTTGTGCCTCTGCCAGGCTTTGGTATCAGGATGATGCTGGCCTCATAAAATGAGTTAGGGAGGATTCCCTCTTTTTCTATTGACTGGAATAGTTTCAGAAGGAATGGTACCAGCTCCTCTTTGTACCTCTGGTAGAATTCGGCTGTGAATCCATCTGGTCCTGGACTTTTTTTGGTTAGTAGGCTATTAACTATTGCCTCAATTTCAGAGCCTGTTATTGGTCTATTCAGGGATTCCACTTCTTCCTGGTTTAGTCTTGGGAGGGTGTATGTGTCCAGGAATTTATCCATTTCTTCTAGATTTTCTAGTTTATTTGCATAGAGGTGTTTATGGTATTCTCTGATGGTAGTTTGTATTTCTGTGGGATCAGTGGTGATATCCCCTTTATCATTTTTTACTGCATCTATTTGATTCTCCTCTTCATGCTAAAAACTCTCAATAAACTAGGTATTGATAGAATGTATCTCAAAATAATAAGAGCTATTTATGACAAACCCACAGCCAATATCATACTGAATGGGCAAAAACTGGAAGCATTCTCTTTGAAAACTGGCACAAGACAGGGATGCCCTCTCTCACCACTGCTATTCAACATAGTGTTGGAAGTTCTGGCCAGGGCAATCAGGCAGGACAAAGAAATAAAGGGTATTCAATTAGGAAAAGAGGAACTTAAATTGTCCCTGTTTGCAGATGACGATTGTATATATAGAAAACTCCATGATCTCAGCCCAAAATCTCCTTAAGCTGATAAGCAACTTAGCAAAGTCTCAGGATACAAAATCAACGTGGAAAAATCGCAAGCCTCCCCATACACCAATAACAGACAAACAGAGAGCCAAATCATGAGTGAAGTCCCATTCACAATTGCTTCAAAGAGAATAAAATACCTAGGAATCCAACTTACAAGGGATGTGAAGGGCCACTTCAAGGAGAACTACAAACCACTGCTCAACGAAATAAAAGAGGACACAAACAAATGGAAGAACATTCCATGCTCATGGATAGGAAGAATCAACATCATGAAAATGGCCATACTGCTCAAGGTAATTTATAGATTTAATGCCATCCCCATCAAGCTACCAATGACTTTCTTCACAGAATTGGAAAAAACTATTTTAAAGTTCATATGGAACCAAAAAAGAGCCCGCATTGCCAAGACAATCCTAAGTAAAAGGAACAAAGCTGGAGGCATCACTCTACCTGACTTCAAACTGTACTACAAGGCTACAGTAAACAAAACAGCATGGTACTTGTACCAAAACAGAGATATAGACCAATGGAACAGAACAGAGCCCTCAGAAATAATACCACACATCTGCAACCATCTGATCTTTGACAAACCTGACAAAAAGAAGAGATGGGGAAAGGATTCCCTATTTAATAAATGGTGCTGGGAAAACTGGCTAGCCATATGTAGAAAGCTGAAACTGGATCCCTTCCTTATACCTTATACAAAAAATAATTCAAGGTGGATTAAAGACTGAAATGTTAGACCTAAAACCATAAAAACCCTAGAAGAAAACCTAGGCAATACCAGTCAGGACATAGGCATGGGCAAGGACTTCATGTCTAAAACACCAAAAGCAATGGCAACAAAAGCCAAAATTGACAAATGGGATCTAATCAAACTAAAGAGCTTCTGCACAGCAAAAGAAACTACCATCAGAGTGAACAGGCAACCTACAGAATGGGAGAAAATTTTTGCAATCTACTCATCTGACAAAGGGTTAATATCAAGAATCTACAAAGAACTCAAACAAATTTACAAGAAAAAAACAACCCCATCAAAAAGTGGGCAAAAGATACGAACAGACACTTTTCAAAAAAAGACATTTATGCAGCCAACAGACACATGAAAGATGCTCATCATCACTGGCCATCAGAGAAATGCAAACCAAAACCACAATGAGATACCATCTCATACCAGTTAGAATGGTGATCATTAAAAAGTCAGGAAACAACAGGTGCTGGAGAGGATGTGGAGAAATAGGAATGCTTTTACACTGTTGGTGGGAGTGTAAACTAGTTCAACTATTGTGGAAGACAGTGTGGCAATACCTCAAGGATCTAGAACTAGAAATCCCATTTGACCCAGCCATCCCATTACTGGGTATATACCCAAAGGATTATAAATCATGCTGCTATAAAGACACATGCATACGTATGTTTATTGTGGCACTATTCACAATAGCAAAGACTTGGAACCAACCCAAATGTCCATCAATGATAGATTGGATTAAGAAAATGTGGCACATATACACCATGGAATACTATGCAGCCATAAAAAAGGATGAGTTCATGTCCTTTGTAGGGACACGGATGAAGCTGGAAACCATCATTCTGAGCAAACTATCGCAAGGACAGAAAACCAAACACCACATGTTCTCACTCATAGGTGGGAAATGAACAATAAGAACACTTGTACACAGGGCGGGGAACATCACACACTGGGGCCTGTCATGGGATGGGGGGAGGGGGGAGGGATAGCATTAGGAGATATACCTAATGTAAATGACGAGTTAACGGGTACAGCACATGCACATGGCACATGGGTACATATGTAACAAACCTGCACATTGTGCACATGTACCCTAGAACTTAAAGTATAATAAAAAATAAATTAATTAACTTAAATTAAATTAATGGATTTGTTTTATTATTTCATCTACCAAGTATTTATCAAGTGTCTACTGTGTGTTAGAAGCTATTTTAGACATCGTTCAATTTTTTTAAAGAACTGCCTGATGCTGAAATGAATAGGTTACCAGAGACTTACTTTTAAGATAATTTTTAAGAAAATTACTTGTCTATTCAAGAATATTAGCTGGAGAATGGCTTGAGGTGAGGAATGGACTAGACTCTTCTCACTGTCCTTTAGTTCAGTGACTTCTCAAGACAGAAATAACAAGGCAAGACCATCAAATAAACCCAAAGCATCTCTGAGAAAAAAAAAATTTTGTTTTTTTATTTTAAGTTCTGGGGTACATGTGCAAGATGTGCAGGTGTTTGTTACGTACATAAATGTATGCCATAGTGATTTGCTGCACCTATCAACTCATTACCTAGGCATTAAGCCCAGCATGCACTAGCTATTTTTCCTAATGCTCTTCCTCCCTCCGCCCTGCCTCCCACAGGCTCCAGTGTGTGTTGTTACCCTCCCTGTGTCTGTGTGTTCACATTGTTCAGCTCCCACATATAAGTAAGAAGATGCAGTGTTTGGTTCTCTGTTCCCATGTTAGTTTGCCAATGATAATGACTTCCAGCTCCAACGATGTCCCTGCAAAGGACATGATCTCGTTCCTTTTTTTTTTTAATTACACTTTAAGTTCTAGGGTACATGTGCACAATGTGCAGGTTTGATACATAGGTATATATGTGCTATGTTGGTTTGCTGCACCCATCAACTCATCATTTACATTAGGTATTTCTCCTAATGCTCTCCCTCCCCCAGCCCCCCACCTCACAACAGGCCCTGGTGTCTGATGTTCCTCACCTTGTGTCCAAGTGATCTCATTGTTCAATTCCCACCTAGGAGTGAGAACATGCAGTGTTTGGTTTTCTGTCCTTGTGATACTTTGCTGAGAATGATGGTTTCCAGCTTCATCCATGTCCCTACAAAGGACATGAACTCATCCTTTTTGTGGCTGCATAGTATTCCATGGTGTATATGTGCCACATTTTCTTAATCCAGTCTATCATTGATGGACATTTGGGTTGGTTCCAAGTCTTTGCTATTGTGAATAGTGCCACAATAAACAAACATGTGCATGTGTCTTTATAGTAGCATGATGTATAATCCTTTGGGTATATACCCAGTAATGGGATTGCCGGGTCAAATGGTAATTCTAGTTCTAGATCCTTGAGAAAAATATGGAACGCTTCACGAATTTGCATGTCATCCTTGCACAGGGGCCATGCTAATCCTCTATGTGTCATTCCAATTTTAGTATATGTGCTGCAGAAGCGAGCACAATCTCGTTCCTTTTTATGGCTGCACAGTATTCCATGGTGTATATGTACCACATTTTCTTTATGCAGTCTATCATTGATGGGCATTTGGGTTGATTCCATGTCTTTGCTATTGTGAATAGTGCTGCAATGAACATACGTGTGCATGTATCTTTATAATAGAATGATTTATATTCTTTTGGGTATATACCCCATAATGGGATTGCTGGGTCAAATGATATTTCTGGTTCTAGGTCTTTGAGGAATCACCACACTGTCTTCCACAATGGTTGACTTAATTTACATTCCCACCAACAGTGTAAAAGTTTTCCTATTTCTCCACAGCCTCATCAGATCTGTTATTTCTTAACTTTTTAATAATCGCCATTCTGACTGGCGTGAGATGGAATCTCACTGTGATTTTGGTTTGCACTTATCTAATGATCAGTGATGTTGAGCTTCTTTATATGTTTGTTAGTCACATAAATATCTTCTTTTGAGAAGTATCTGTTCATGTCCTTTGCCCACTTTTTAATGGGGTTGTTTGGGTTTTTTCCTTATAAATTTGTTTAAGTTCCTTGTAGATTCTGGATATTAGAACTTTGTCAAAAAAAAAAAAAGAATTTTGTCAGATGGATAGGTTGCAAAAATTTTCTCCCATTCTGCAGGTTGTCTATTTGCTCTAATAATAATTTCTTCTGCTGTGCAGAAGCTCTTTAGTTTAATTAGAACCCATTTGTCAATTTTTACTTTTGTTGCAATTGCTTTTGATGTTTTTGTCATGAAATCTTTGCCCATGCCTATGTGCTGAATGATATTGCCTAGATTTTCTTCCAGGTTTTTTATAGTTTTGGGTTTTCAATTTAAGTCTTTAATCCATCTTGAGTTAATTTTTGTATCAGGCATAAGAGCGGAGTCCAGTTTCAATTTTCTGCATATAGCTGGCCAGTTCTCCCAGCACCATTTATTAAATAGGGAATCCTTTCCCCATTGCTTGTTTTTTGTCAGGTTTGTTGAAGATCATATGGCTGTAGATGAGCAGTCTTATTTCTGAGTACTCTATTCTGTTCCATTGGTCTATGTGTCTATTTTTGTACCAGTACCATGTTATTTTTTTACTGTTGCCATGTAGTACAGTTTGAAGTTGGGTAGCATGATGTCTCCAGCTTTGTTCTTTTTGTTTAGAATTGTCTTTGCTATTCAGGCTCTTTTATGGTTCTATATGAATTTTAAAATAGTTTTTTCTAATTCTGTGAAGAATGTCAGTGGTAGTTTAATGGGAATAGCATTGAATCTATAAATTACTTTGGGCAGTATGGCCATTTTCACAATATTGATTTTTCCTATCCATGAGCATTGAATGTTTTTCCATTAAAATTTTAATAAGCTATTGTCTCTCAAATTGTAGCCCTTCCATACTGCTGTAATTATACCTGTTCCTACTTCTCATGCTTCTCCCCAGAAGCCCACAAGTTTTGAAGGGGAAATAAAAGCCATAATCTCTCAAAAGTACTATAAACTAATGGCCAAATATCTCACCTGGCTGACTTTGGGACAATGTTCCACATTCAAACGGTTTCCATCTTCTTCTCACTGGTAAAGTCAATGGGAAAAAATATATAGTGAACTAACTGAGCTAGAAAAATAATTTTATTGTTCTATCAACAAATTCCTAATAAGTATGATTAGCATAAATACTTTCACATCAGTAGAATGAGGCTTCACTAATGAGATGAACACAATACACATCTGACATAATACCAATTGCTTTTAAATATATATACGTGTGTGTGTGTATATATGTATATAATAAAAATTATTTTTAAAGGCAATATAATTAACTTGCATGATTCAACTGGAGTTTACTCCCATTTACTGTTTGTGTGATTTTCAGATAAATTATTTAACATTTTTGAGTCTCCTTTTGCTCAACTATAAAATTGGGACAATAGTTATTTGTAGTTTGTTAGAATGTAATGCCTAATACAGTAGATACTCAATTAATGTTAGGTGAATGTGATCCAAAGTCAATAAAATTTCTGAAAGGGAGTATATGCATCTGTTTGAAAAGCGACCTTGAGAAGAATTTATTCCAACAATTTATGTATTTTACAAATTGAATAAAGCAGAAGGATTTCTTAAAACATTGTCACCTAAAGCAGAACAAATCTTTCTTTTAAATAAGTGTTTTCCTGCCTTAATATTTAATTCAATTAGATTAGGCTGAATGTTTTTGGAGAGACTTGAATATAATAATGCATAAAATTTGTCTACATTTGGCCACAAGCTTTTGCTGACACTTAATGAAATCTTTTTAATTACTCCAGCAGCCCTTGTGTTGGCTGCTGTGCTGGGGTCATTGGAAAACTCGACCCTGTGGTACTTGGGATACAAGAACATCTTCTGCTGATTGAAGCCTATACCCTGTGGAAATGTTTTAATGTGGTCCTTGAAGCATGTCCTAAGAAATACTGTCAACACATATTCTTCCTTGTCAGGCCTTTACTTGGTCAGGAATACTCAAGAGCTCTGTCTTTTTGCCTGTAGTTTACCATGTTGTCTTCCACTTGTTTTCAAATCTGGTTTAGCTGTGTTCAATAAAGCAGAGTTAGATGAATTAGATGACATCATCAACCCTTCTCTCCCAGAGAAAATTTCCCATCAGATAAATCACTGAACCAGCTACCATGTTCTGACACATAGAAGCCACATCCCTGCCACCTGATCATTCACTTGCAGCAAAACATTTTCTTAACACAGGGAACAAAGAGGCATGCCCAATGGGCCATATGAAAAGCTGGGGTTGATCACAAACCCCCAGCATGAAGAATTTCAAAAGAAGAAGGAATGGGAAAGAATAAAAGGATAACTTATTCATAATTCACAGTATCACAGGTGATTTTTTTAAAACAAACAGGCCAGGCACAGTGGCTCACACCTGTTATCTCAGCACTTGGGGAGGCTGAGGTGGGAGGATTGCTTGAGCCCAGGAGTTTGAGACCAGTCTGGGCAACATGGTGAGATCCTGTCTCTAAAAAAATTTTTTTAAATGGTGACCAGGCATGTTGGTGTGCACATTTGGTCCCAGCTACTCAGGAGGCTGAGGTGGGAGGATGACTTGGACCCAGGAGTTTGAGGCTACAGTGAGCCGTGATTGTGCCACTGCACTCCAGCCTGAGCAACTGGGTGAGACTCAGTCTCAAAAAATTAATTAATTAATTAATTAATTAAATAACAAACAGAAGACTGTTGGACTCTACTGTTTAATATAAACTAAAAGATAGGACATAATCCTGAAGACTCCATAGCTAATTAAAAAACAACTCCTAAAAAATAACATACGAGCAAATATAGATTACTTTGGGTTTGGTGATGACTTTTTCAGATAGAACACCAAAGGAATAAGCCATGAAAGAAAGGATTGATAAACTGGACTTCATTAAAATTAAAATGTTCTGCCCTGGGAAAAACACTGTCAAGAGAATGTAAAGACAAACCGCAGACTGGAAGAAAATATTTGCAAAAGATCTATCTGATAAATGACTGTTATCCAAAATATACAAAGAACTCTTAAAACTCAACAATAAGAAAACAACACAATTAAAAATGGGCCAAAGACCTTAATAGACACTTCATCAAAGGAGATCTATAGATGTCAAATAAGCATATGGACAGATACTCTACATCATATGTCATTAGGGAAATCCAAATAAAAGCAACAATGAGATACCACTATATACCTATTAGAATGGCCAAAATGTAGACACTGACAGCAGCAAATGCTGTTGAGGATGTACAGGAATAGAAACTCTTATTTATTGCTGGTGGAAATACAAAATGGTACAGCTACATTGGAACACAGTTTGACAGCTTCTTGCAGAACTAAACATACTCTTACAATATTATCCAGCAATCACCCTTCTTGGTATTTTTCCAAAGGAACTGAAAATACATAGCCACACAAAAACCTGCACGTGGGTGATTATAGCAGCTTTACTCCTAATTGCCAAAACTTAAAAGCAACCAACCAACCAAGCAACTTACGTATTTACCTTTCAGTAAGTAAATACGTAAGTAAATTGCAGTGCATCCAGATAATGGAGCATTATTTGGTGCTAAAAAGAGATGAGCTATCAAGCCATGAAAAAGAATGGAGAAAACTTAAACGGATATTATTCAGTGATAGAAGCCAATCTGAAAAGGGTACACATGTATGATTCCAACTATACAACATTTAGGAAAAATCAAAACTATAGAGACAGGAAAAAAATCAGTGGTTGTCAGGGATTAGGGAGGGAGGAAGGAATGGATTGACAGAGCACAGAGAATCTTTAGGGTAGTAACACTACTCTGTGTGATATTATAACTGGTGGGTACATGTCATTATACGTTTGTCCAAACCTGTAAAATGTACAACACCAAAAGGGAATCCTAATGTAAACTATGGACTTTGGGTGATAATGATGTGTCAATGTAAGTTCATCAATTGTAACAAATGTACGACTTCGGTGAAGAATGTTCATAATGGGAGAGGCTATGCTTGCGTGGGGACAGAGAGTATGTGGGAAATCTCTGTACCTTTCTCTGAATTTTACTATAAACACAAAACTGCTCTAAAAAATTTAAGTATATTAAACAATCCACACTGCTATATATAAACATGTTTATATACTGATTAACTGGGGTGAATAGATCTTGACAAACATAAGAAATTGCCATATCCGAAGACACTGGACGTCCCCCCAGGTGTGTTGTTATTGTTATTTACTTGTTTGTTTCATTTTTTATTTTTATGGGTACATAGTAGGTATATTATTTATGGGGTACATAAGATATTTTGATAAAGGCATATAGTGTATAATAACCACATCAAGGTAAATGGAATATTCATCACCTCAAGTATTTATCATTTCTTTGTGTTATAAACATTCCAATTATAATTTTAGATATTTTTAAACAATAAAATATTGTTGATTAAAACCATCCTATTGTGCTATCAAATATTAGATCCCATTCATTCTACCTACCTATATTTTTGTACCCATTAACCATCACCATTCCTCCTCCCCACTGTGCTTTCCAATCCCTGGTAACATTCATTTCACTTTCTATGTCCATGAGTTCAATTGTTTTAATTTTTGGCTCCCACAAATGAGTGAGAACATGTGACAGTTGTCTTACTGCGCCTGGCTTATTTCATTTAACATAATGTCCTCCAGTTCTATCTATGTTGTTGCAAATGACAGAATTTCATTCCTTTTATATCTGAATAGTACTCCATTGTGTACCACATTTTGCTTATCCATTTGTCTGTTGATGGACACTTGGGTTGCTTCTAAACATTGGCTATTGTGAATAGTGCTGCAATAAACACAGGAGTGCAGATATCTCTTTGCTATACTGATTTTCTTTCTTTGGGGTTTATGCCTAGCAGTGAGATTGCTGGATCATATGGTAGTTCTATTTTTAGTTTTTGAGGAACCTCCATACTACTCTGTATAGTGGCTGTACAAATGTGCATTCCCACCAACAGTGTATAAACATTCCCTTTCCTCCTCATCCTACCCAGCATTCGTTATTGCCCATCTTTTAAAGAAAAGTCATTTTAACTTGGTTGAGATTATATCTCATTGTAGTTTTGATTCTCATTTCTCTGATGATCAGTGATATTGAGCACCTTTTCATATATCTGTTTGCCATATGTCTTCTTTTGAGAAATGTCTATTCCAATCTTTAGTCCATTTTGATTGGATTATTAGATTTTTTCCTATTGAGTTGTTTGAGCTCTTTATATAGTCTAGTTATTAATCCCTTGTCAGATAAATAGTTTGCAAATATTTTCTCCCATTCTGTGGGTTGTCTCTTCACTTTGTTGATTGTTTCCTTTGTTATGCAGAAAGTTTTTAACTTGATGTGATCCCATTTGTCCATTTTTGCTTTGGTTACCTGTGCTTATAGGCTATGGCTCAAGAAATCTTTGCCCAGACCAATATCCTGGGGATTTTCCCCCAGTGTTTTCTATTAGTAGTTTTATAGTTTGAGATTTAAGTATTTCATCCATTTCGATTTAATTTTTATATATGGCAAGAGTTGGGGTCTAGTTTTTTCTTAGCACCATTTATTGAAGAGACTATCATTTCCCCAATGTATGTTCTTGGCACCTTTATTGAAAATTAGTTCACTGTAGTAGTAAAGATTTATTTCTGAGTTCTTTATTTTGTTCCACTAGCCTATATGTCTGTTTTTATACCAGTATCATGCTTTTTGGTTACTACAGCTTTGTAGTATGATTTGAAGTCAGGTATTATGATTCCTCTGGTTTCATTCTTTTTGCTTAGGATAGCTTTGGCTATTCTGGGTCTTTTGTGGTTCCATATAAATTTCAGAATTGTTTTTTTCTATTTCTGTGAAGAACATCGTTGGTATTTTGATGGAGTTTACATTGAATCTGTAGATTGCTTTGGGCAGTATGGACATTTTAACAATACTGATTCTGCCAATACGTGAACATGGAATATCTTTCCATGCTTTTGTGTCCCTCTTCAATTTCTTGCATCAGTGTTTTACAGTTTTCATTGCAGAGATCTTTCTCTTCTTTGGATAAAGTTATTCCTAGGTATTTTGTTTATAGCTATACATGGGACTAATTTCTTAATTTCTTTTGCAGTGTTTGCTTTTGGCATATGAAAATGCTACTAATTTTTGTATGTTGATTTTGTATCTTGCAAATTTACTTAATTAATTTATCCATTCTAATAGTTTCCTTGTGGAGTCTTTAAGTCTTTCCAAGTGTAAGCTCATATTATCTGCAAACAAGGATAATTTGATTTCTTCCTTTCCAATTTGGATGCCCTTTATATCTTGTTTATATCTTTCTCCTGTCTGATTGCTCTAGCTAGGACCTCCGGTACCATGTTAAATAACAGTGGTAAAACTGGGCATCCTTGTGTTGTTCCAGATCTTAGAAGAAAGGCTTTCAGCTTTTCCCCTTTCAGTATGACGCTAGCTATGATTCTGTCATATATGGTTTTTATTATGTTAAGGTATGTTCCTTCTATCCTCAGTTTTTGAGGGTTTTTATTATGAAGGGATGTTGATTTTATCAAATGTTTTTTCAGCATTAACTGAAATGATCATATGATTTTTGTCCTTCATTCTGTTGATAGGATGTATCATGTTGAATAATTTGTGTATGTTGAACCATCTTTGCATTCTTGGGATAAATCCCACTTGGTCATGATGAATGATCTTTCTAATGTGTTGTTAAATTCAGTTTGGTAGTATTTTGTTGAAGATTTTTGCATCAGTGTTTGAATATTGGCCTGTAGTTTTCTTTTTTTGATGTTCCTAGTTTTGGTATCAAGGTAATACTGGCCTCATAGAATAAGTTTGAAAGTATTCCCTCTATTTTTCAGAATAGTTTCAGTAGTATTGCTATTAGTTCTTCTTTAAATGATTGGTAAAATTCAGCGCTGAAGCCATTGGGTCCTGGGCTTTTCTTTGCTGCGAGGCCGTTTGTTATGGCTTTGATCTCATCTCTTGTTATTGGTCTATTGAGGTTTTGGATTTCTTCATACTTTAATCTTGGTAGGTTTTATGTGTCTAGGAGTATATCTGTTTCTACTAGGTTTTCCAATTTACTGGCATGTAGTTTCTCATAGTAGTCTCTAATGTTCCTTTTAATTTCTCAGTATGAATTGTGATGTCTCCTTTTACATCTCTAATTTTATTTACTTGGGCCTTCTCTCTTTTTATCTTTGTTAGTCTGACTAAAGGTTTGTCAATCTTGCTTGTTTGTTTGTTTGTTTGTTTAACAGGGGCTTATTCTGTTGCCCAGGCTGGAGTGCAGTGGTGCAATCATAGCTCACAGCAGGCTTGATCTTCCAGGTTCAAACCATCCTCCCACCTTAGTCTCCCAAGTAGCTGAGACTACGAGTCCGCACCACTTTGCCTGGCTATTTTCTCTTTTATTATTCTTAGTAGAAACAGGTCTTGCTATGTTGCCCAGGCTGGTCTCAAACTCCTGGGCTCAAGCAATCCTCCCATCTCAGCCTTCCAAAGTGCTGGGATTATAGGAATAAGTCACCACCCCGGCCTTGTTTATCTTTTCAAAAAAACAGCTTTTTCTTTCATTGATCTTTTGTATTTTTGTTTTTGCAAAATGTTTATTCCCACTCTGATCTTTATTATATGCTTTATTTTACTAATTTTGGGTTTGGTTTGCTCTTGCTCTTCTAGTTCTTTATGATGCACCAGTAGGTTATTTGTTTAAATTTTTTTCTACTTTTTTGATGTAGGCACTTATTGTTATAAATTTTTCTCTTAGTACTGCTTTCACTGTATCCCATAGGTTTTGGTATGTTGTGTCTTCATTTTAATTTGTTTCAATACATTTTTAAAATTTCCCTCTTAATTTTTTCATTGACCCAATAATCATTTAGGAGCATGTTGTTTAATTTCCATGGGCTTTGTATTTTCCTAAGTCCCTCTTGTTACCAATTTCTAGTTTTATTCCATCGTGGTCAGAGAAGATACTTTATGATTTCAATTTTGTTGAAATTTTTAAGGCTTGTTTTGTGACCTAATATAGAATCTATCCTTGAGAATGATTCATTTGCTGAGAAAAATAATGTGTATTCTACAGCCATTAGAAATGTTCTGTAAATATTTATTAGGTCCCTTTGGTCTATACTGAATATTAAGTCTAATATTTCTTTGTTGATTTTCTATATGGACGATCTGTCCAATGCTGAAAGTGGGTGTTGAAGTCTCCAGTTATTATTGTTTTGGGGCCCATCTCTTCCGTTAGTTCTAATAATATTTATTTTATATAACTGAGTGCTCCAGTGTTGGCTGCATATATAATTGTTATATTTTCTTCCTGAATTGATCCCTTTTCCTTATATAATTACCTTCTTTGTCTCTTTTTATGTTTTTTGTCTTGAACCCTATTTTATCTTACATAAGAATAGGCACTCTTGCTCTTTTTGTTTTCCATTTGCATGGAATATTTTTTCCATCCCTTTATTGCCAGTCTATGTCTGTCTTTATAGGTGATGTGTGTTTCTTGTAGGCAATAGGTAGTTGGGGCTGGTTTTTTTATCCATTCAGTCAGTCTATGTCTTGATTAGAGAGTTTAGTCCATATACATTAAATGTTTTTATTGATAAATAAGGATTTACTCCTGCCATTTTATAATTGGTTTTCTGGTTGTATTGTGGTATTTTCTTCCTTTCTGTCTTCTTTTTTGGGAAAGTGATTTTCTCTGGTTGTATGTTTTAATTTCTTGCTTTACATTTTTTAGGTAACATTGTAGGTTGTTTTCCTTTAAGGTTATCATGATGCTTGCAAATGACATCTTATAACTCATTATTTTAAACTAATGACAACTTAACACTGATTCATAAACAAACTAGAAAAAAGCAGAGAAAACTAATAAAAAAACACTTTAACTTATACTTTAACTCCCCCCAACTTTTCAACATTTTTGGTCTCTATTTTTATCTTATTATACTGTCTATGTCTTGAAAAATTGTTGTACTTATTATTTTTGATAGGTTTATATTTTGGTCTTCCTACTTAAGACATTAATAGTTTACACACCATAATTAAAGTGTTATAATATTCTATATGTGTACATGTACTTACTATTGTCGGTGAGTGTTGCACCTTCAGATGATTTCTTCTTGCTCATAAATGTCCTTTTCTTTCAGCATTTGTTGTAATACTGGTCTAGTGTATTTTCTTTAAGCATTTGTTGTAATACGGGTCTAGTGTTAATGAAATCCCTCAGCTTTGGTACGTCTGGAAAAGTCTTTATTTCTCCTTCATATTTGAAAGATATTTTCACTGGATATACAATTCTTTTGTGTTTTTTTTTCCCCTCAGAACTTTAACTATGTCAAACCACTCACTTCCAACCTATAAGCTTTCCACTGAGAAGTCTGCTGCCAGACATATTGAAGCTCCTTTGTATGTTTCTGTTTGGTTGGTTGGTTGGATTTTTTGAGACAAGTTCTCACTTTGTCACCCAGGCTGGAGTGCAGTGGCACAATTACAATTCACTGCAGCCTCAATCACCTGGGCTCAAGCAATCCTCTCACCTCAGCCTCCCAAGTAGCTAGGACTATAGGCACACGCCACCATGCCATGCCTGGCTAATTTAGAGATATGTGGGGTTTCACTGTGTTACCCAGGCTGGTCTCAAAATTCTGGGCTCAAGTATTCCTCCTGCCTCAGCCTTCCAAAGTGCTAGGATTACAGATGTGAGACACCATGCTGGCCTCCTTTGTATGTTATTTGTTTCTTTTCTCTTGCTGCTTTTAGAATCCTTTCTTTATCTTTGGCTTTTGGGAGATTGATTATTAAATGTCTTGAGGTAGTCTTATTTGGGCTAAATCTGCTTGGTGCTCTACAACCCTCTTGTACTTGCATATTGATATCTTTCTCTAGGTTTGGGAAGTTCTCTGTTATTGTCCCTTTGAATAAACTTCCTACCCTATGTCTCTCTCTGCCTCCTCTTTAAGGCTAATAGCTCTTAGATTTGCACTTTTGAGGCTATTTTCTAGTTATTGTAGGCATGCTTCATTCCTTTTTATTTTTTTTTCTTTTGTCTCCTCTGACTGTGTATTTTCATATAGCCTGTCTTCATGCTCACTAATTCTCTCTTCTGCTTGATCAGTTCTTCTGTTAAGGGACTCTGGTACATTCTTTAGTATATCAATTACATTTTTCAGCTCCAGAAGGAGCAGGAAATGTAAAAAGGACCTTATCTTGCAACTTGGGCAACAGCTCAGCCACAGTAAAATAAAGCACCAAGTAGATTCCTGACGTTTCTGACTACAGGCTCTAGCTCCCAGACAGTATTTCTAGACCCACCCTAGGCCAGAAGGGAGTCCCCCACCCTGAAGGGAAAGACACAAGCCTGGCTGAGTTCACCACCTGCTGACTAAAGAGCCCTTGGTCCTTGAGTAAACATCAATGGTAGTCATGCCATAGTTGCTACAGGCCTTAGGCAAGCCCTGAGCTGGCTTCAGGTCCAAGAAAGATGGCTACAAATAAGCACAGACAGTGAAGACTACAATAAATTCCTAACTCTTCAATGCCCAGACACCAAAGAACATCTGCTAGCATCAACACCATCCAGGAAAACATGACCTCACCAAATGAACTAAATAAGCCACCAGAGACCAATCCTGGAGAAACAGAGATATGTGACCTTTCAGACAGAGAACCAAAATAGCTGTGTTTGGGAAACTCAAAAAAATTTAAGACAACAAAGGGAAGGAATTCAGAATTCTGTCAGATAAATTTAACAAACAGATTGAAATAATCAAAAAGAATCGAGCAGAAATTCTGGAGCTGACAAATGCAATTGGCATACTGAAGAATGCACCAGAGTCCTTTAACAGCAGAATTGATCAAGTAGAAGAAAGAACTAGTGAGCCTGAAGGCAGGCTATTTGAAAATACACAGTCACAGAAAACAAAAGAAAAAAGAATTAAAAACAATGAAGCATGCTTACGGGATCTAGAAAATAGCCTCAAAAGGGCAAATCTAAGAGTTATTGGCCTTAAAGAGGAGGTAGAGAGATAGGGATAGAAAGTTTATTCAAAGGGATAATAACAAAGAACTTCCCAAACCTAGAGAAAGATACCAATATCCAAGTACAAGAAAATTTAGAACACTAAACAGATTTAGCTCAAATAAGTCTACCTCAAGGCATTTAATAATCAAACTCCCAAAGGTTCAAGGATAAAGAAAGTATCCAAAAGCAGCAAGAAAAAAGAAGCAAATAACATACAAGGGAGCTCCAATATGTCTGGCAGCAGATTTTTCAGTGGAAACCTTACAGACCAGGAGAGAGTGGCATCACATATTTAAAATGCTGGTGGGAAAACACCTTTAACCCTAGAATAGTATATTCAGTGAAAATATCCTTCAAACATGAAGGAGAAATGAAGACTTTCCTAGACAAACAAAAGCTGAGGGATTTCATGCATACCAGACCTGTCCTATAAGAAATGCTAAAGGAAGTACTTCAATCAGAAAAAAAAGGACATTAATGAGCAATAAATAATCACCTGAAGGTACAAAATTTACTGGTAATAGTAAGTATACAGAAAAACACAGAATATTATAACACTGTAATTGTGGTGTGTAGACTATTCTTTTCCTAAGTAGAAAGTTTACACTGAACAGGCTGGGCATGGTGGCACATGCCTGTAATCCCAGCACTTTGGGATGCGGAGGCAGACAGATCATGAGGTCAAGAGATGGAGACCATCCTGGCCAACATGGCCAAAGCAATCTACAGATTCAATGTAAACTCCATCAAAATACCAATGATGTTCTTCACAGAAATAGAAAAAACAATTCTGAAATTTATACGGAACCACAAAACACCCAGAATAGCCAAAGCTATCCTAAGCAAAAAGAACAAAACCAGAGGAATCAGAGAGTATAAATATCCAAATAATCTGGAAAAATATGAGAAAGGAAAAACAGACTTTGGATACTGTAGCCTTGTAGTATAGTTTGAAGTCAGGTAGCGTGATGCCTCCAGCTTTGTTCCTTTTACTTAGGATTGTCTCGGCAATGTGGGCTCTTTTTGGGTTCCATATGAACTTCAAAATAGTGTTTTCCAATTCTGTGAAGAAAGTCATTGGCAGCTTGATGGGGATGGCACTGAATCTATAAATTACCTTGGGCAGTATGGCCATGTTCACAATATTGATTCTTCCTATCCATGAGCATGGAATGTTCTTCCATTTGTTTGTGTCCTCTTTTATTTCGTTGAGCAGTGGTTTGTAGTTCTCCTTGAAGAAGTCCTTCACATCCCTTGTAAGTTGGATTCCTAGGTATTTTATTATCTTGATAGCAAGTGTGAATGGGAGTTCACTCACGATTTGGCTCTCTGTTTGTCTGTTATTGGTATATAGGGATGCTTGTGATTTTTGCACATTGATTTTGTATCCTGAGACTTTGCTGAAGTTGCTTATCAGCTTAAGGAGATTTTGGGCTGAGATGATGGGATTTTCTAAATATACAATCATGTCATCTGCAAACAGGGACAATTTGAGTTCCTCTTTTCCTAATTGAGTACCCTTTATTTCTTTCTCCTGTCTGATTGCCCTGGCCAGAAGTTCCAACATTATGTTGAATAGGAGTGGTGAGAGAGGGCATCCCTGTCTTGTGCCAGTTTTCAAAGAGAATGCTTCCAGTTTTTGCCCATTCAGTATGATATTGGCTGTGGGTTTGTCATAAATAGCTCTTATTATTTTGAGGTACGTTCCATCAATACCTAATTTATTGAGAGTTTTTAGCATGAAGAGGAGAATCAAATAGATGCAGTAAAAAATGATAAAGGGGATATCACCACTGATCCCACAGAAATACAAACTACCATCAGAGCATACTATAAACACCTCTATGCAAATAAACTAGAAAATCTAGAAGAAATGGATAAATTCCTGGACACATACACCCTCCCAAGACTAAACCAGGAAGAAGTGGAATCCCTGAATAGACCAATAACAGGCTCTGAAATTGAGGCAATAATTAATAGCCTACCAACCAAAAAAAGTCCAGGACCAGATGGATTCACAGCCAAATTCTACCAGAGGTACAAAGAGGAGCTGGTACCATTCCTTCTGAAACTATTCCAATCAACAGAAAAAGAAGGAATCCTCCCTAACTCATTTTATGAGGCCAGCATCATCCTGATACCAAAGCCTGGCAGAGACACAACAAAAAAAGAGAATTTTAGACCAATATCCCTGATGAACATCGATGTAAAAATCCTCAATAAAATACTGGCAAACCGAATCCAGCAGCACATCAAAAAGCTTATCCACCAAGATCAAGTTGGCTTCATCCCTGGGATGCAAGGCTGGTTCAACATATGCAAATCAATAAACGTAATCCATCATATAAACAGAATCAAAGACAAAAACCACATGATTATCTCCATAGATGCAGAAAAGGCCTTCGACAAAATTTAACGGCCCTTCATGCTAAAAACTCTCAATAAACTAGGTATTGATGGAACGTATCTCAAAATAATAAGAGCTGTTTATGACAAACCCACAGCCAATAGCATACTGAATGGGCAAAAACTGGAAGCATTCCTTTTGAAAACTTGCACAAGAGAGGGATGCCCTCTCTCCCCACTCCTATTCAACATAGCGTTGGAAGTTCTGGCCAGGGCAATCAGGCAAGACAAAGAAATAAAGGGAAATTATTAGGAAAAAATCAATTAGGAAAAGAGGAAGTCAAATTGCCCCTGTTTGCAGGTGACATGATTGTATATTTAGAAAACCCCATCGTCTCAGCCCAAAATCTCCTTAAGCTGATAAGCAACTTCAGCAAAGTCTCAGGATACAAAATCAATGTGCAAAAATCACAAGCATCCCTATACACCAGTAACAGACAAACAGAGAGCCAAATCATGAGTGAAGTCCCATTCACAATTGCTCTCAAGATAATAAAATACCTAGGAATCCAACTTACAAGGGATGTGAAGGACCTCTTCAAGGAGAACTACACACCACTGCTCAACGAAATAAAAGACAACACAAACAAATGGAAGAACATTCCATGCTCATGGATAGGAAGAATCAATATCGTGAAAATGGCCATACTGCCCAAGGTAATTTATAGATTCAATGCCATCCCCATCAAGCTACCAATGACTTTCTTCACAGAATTGGAAAACACTATTTTAAAGTTCATATGGAACCCAAAAAGAGCCCACATTGCCAAGACAATCCTAAGCAAAAAGAACAAAGCTGGAGGCATCACGCTGCCTGACTTCAAACTATACTACCAGGTTACAGTAACCAAAACAGCATGGTACTGGTGGCAAAACAGATATATAGACCAATGGAACAGAAGAGAGGACTCAGAAATAACACCACACATCTATAACCACCTGATCTTTGACAAACTTGACAAAAAGAAGAAATAGGGGAAGGATTCCCTGTTTAATCAATGGTGCTGGGAAAACTGGCTAGCCATATGTAGAAGCTGAAATTGGATCCCTTACTTACACCTTATACAAAAATTAATTCAAGATGGATTAAAGACTTAAATGTTAGACCTAAAACCATAAAAACTGAAGAAGAAAACCTAGGCAATACCATTCAGGACATAGGCATGGGCAAGGACTTCATGACTAAAACACCAAAAGCAATGGCAACACAAGCCAAAATTGACAAATGGAATCTAATTAAACTAAGGAGCTTCTGCACAGCAAAAGAAACTACAATCAGAGTGAACAGGCAACCTACAGAACGGGAGAAAATTTTTGCAATCTATCCATCTGACAAAGGGCTAAAATCAAGAATCTAAAAAGAACTTAAATTTACAAGAAAAAATCAAACAACCCCATCAAAAAGTGGGCAAAGGATATGAACAGACACTTTTCAAAAGAAGACATTTAGGCAGCCAACAGACACATGAAAAAATGCTCATCATCACTGGCCATCAGAGAAATGCAAATCAAAACCACAATGAGATACCATCTCATACCAGTTAGAATGGTGATCATTAAAAAGTCAGGAAACAACAGGTGCTGGAGAGGATGTGGAGAAATAGGAATGCTTTTACACTGCTGGTGGGAGTGTAAACTAGTTCAATCATTGTGGAAGACAGTGTGGCAATTCCTCAAGGATCTAGAACTAGAAATCCCATTTGACCCAGCCATCCCATTACTGAGTATATACCCAAAGGATTATAAATCATGCTGCTATAAAGACACATGCACACGTATGTTTATTGTGGCACTATTCACAATAGCAAAGACTTGGAACCAACCCAAATGTCCATCAATGATAGACTGGATTAAGAAAATGTGGCACATATGCACCATGGAATACTATGCAGCCATAAAAAGGATGAGTTCATGTCCTTTGTAGGGACATGGATGAAGTTGGAAACCATCATTCTGAGCAAACTTTCACAAGGACAGAAAACCAAACACCGCATGTTCTCATTCATAGGTGGGAATTGAACAATGAGAACACTTAGACACATGGCGGGGAACATCACACACCGGGGCCTGAGTGGGGTGGGGGGATGGGGGAGGGATATCATTAGGAGATATACCTAATGCAAATGACGAGTTAATGGGTGCAGCACACCAACATGGAACATGCATACATATGTAACAAACCTGCATGTTGTGCACATGTACCCTAGAACTCAAAGTATAATAAAAATAAATTTAAAAATAAAATAAAAGTATTAGAACTGATAAATTCAGTAAAGTTGCAGGGTACAAATCAACATACAAAACCTATATGCCAATAGTGAACAATGTGAAAAGGATATTTTAAAAAGTAATCCCATTTACAGTAGCCACACATAAAATTAAATACCTAGAAATTAACCAAAGAAGTGAACAATCTCTACAATGAAAACTACAAAACACTGCTGAAAGAAATTGAAGAGGACACCAAAAAATGGAAAATGTTCCATATTCATGGATTGGAAGAATCAATATTGTTAAAATGTCCATGCTACCCAAAGCAACCTACAGATTCAATGCAATTCCTAGCAAAATACCAATGACATTCTTCAAAGAAATAGAAAAACAATCCAAAAATTTATATGCCACCACAAAAGACCCACAATAACCAAAGCTACCCTAAGCAAAAAGAACAAAACTGGAGGAATCATATTGCCTGACTTCAAATTATACTACAAAGCTATAGTAAACAAAACAGCATGGTTCTAGCATAAAAACAGACACATAGGTCAATGGAACAGAATAGAGAACCCAAAAATGAAGCCATACTTCTGCAGTAAACTCATTTTCAACAAAGGTGCCAAGAACATACAATGGCAAAAAGACAATCTCTTCAATAAATGGTGCTGGAAAAACTGGATATCCATACACAGAAGAATTAAACTAGACTCCTATCTCTTGCCATATACAAAAATCAAATCAAAATGGATTAAATACTTAAATCTTAAATCTCAAACCACAAACTATTAAACTATTACAAGGAAATACTGGAGAAAATCTCCAGGACAATGGTCTGAGCAAAAATCTCTTGAGCAATGCCCCGCAAGCACAAGCAACCAAAGCAAAAATGGACAAATAGGATCAATTCAAGGTAAAAAGCACGGAAAATGAAACAATCAACAAAGTGAAGAGACAACCCACAGAATGGGAGAAAATATTTGCAAACTACCCATCTGATAAGAGATTAATAGAAAATATCTAATAATCTGATCTAAAAAATGGGCAAAAGATTGGAATAGACATTTCTCAAAAGAAGACATACAATGAAGGCATATGAAAAGGTGCTCAAAATCATTGATCCTCAGAGAAATGCAAATCAAAACTACAATGAGATAACATCTCGCTCCAGTTAAAATGGCTTTTCTCCAAAAGACAGGCAATAACAAATGCTGGAGAGGATGTGCAGGAAAGGAAATGCTTGTACACTGTTGGTAAGAATGTAAATTAGTACAATCCCTATGGAGAACAGTTTGGACATCCCTCAAAAAACTAAAAAGTGAGCTATCATATGGTCCAGCAATCCCACTGCTAGATATATACCCAAAAGAAGGGAAATCAGTATATGGAAGAGATACCTGCACTGCCATGTTTATTGCAGCACTGTTTACAATAGCTAAGATTTGAAAGCAACCTAAGTGTCTATCAGCAGATCAATGGATAAAGAAGACGTGGAACATATATAAAAAGGAGTACTATTTAGCCATAAAAAAGAATGAGATCCAGTTATTTGTAACAACATGGATAGAACCAGAGATCATTATGCTAAGTGAAATAAGCCAGGCACAGAAAGACAAATATCGCATGCTCTCACTTATTTGTAGTATATAAAACTCGAAACAATTGAACTCATGGACATAAGTAGAAGGATAGTTGACAGATGCTGAGAAAGGTAGTGGGAAGGTAGTGGGGGCAGGGGGAGGTTGGGATGGTTAATGGGTACAAAAAAAATAGAAAGAATGAATAAGACCTACTATTTTGATTCTGCTGAGAGAGAGAAAAGAGAAAAATTAAGAAAGAAAAAAAAAGGCCTACTATTTGATAGCACAACAGAGTGACTATAGTCAATAATAACTTAATTGTATACTTTAAAATAAAAAGTGCAGTTGGATTGTTTGTAACTCAAAGGATAAATGCTTGAGGGGATGGATACCCCATTCTCCATGACTTGCTTATTTCACATTGCATCTCTGTATCAGGACATCTCATGTAACCCATAAATATATACACCTGCTGTGCACCCATAAAAATTTTAAAAAGCTGGAAAAAAATAAAAAATAAAAAATAAGGAAATAGGTTTTATATTTTATACATATGCTTAATACACATTTATAAAAGAACTGTGATTACTTTTTTTTTTTTTTTTTTTGAGCCAGGATCTGGCTCTGTCACCCTAGTTGGAGTGCAGTGGTGTGATCTTGACTCACTGCAACCTCTGCCTCCCGGCTCAAGCCATCCTCCCACCTCAGCTAGAACTACAGGCGTGAGCCACCACCTGGCTAATTTTTTAAAAAATATTTTTTATAGAGGCAGGGCTTTGCCATGTTGTCCAGGCTGGTCTTGAACTCCTGAGCTCAATCCATCCACCCGCCTCAGCCTCCAAAAAGGCTGGGATTATAAGTGTAAGCCACCATGCCCAGCCCCTAAGGTTACTTTTTAGACAATATTGAATTATCTCAATACCTTATCATTGGCTTAACCTTGTCACACAACCAGTATATCCCACAACCGACTGATTCTTGTTCACAATTCAAGAAACTATGTGTATTTAAGCAATGCTGTATTTACTAAAAAAAAAAAAAAAAAAAAAAAAAAAAAATTAGTACATGAAATCAAGGGACTTCTGCCATTGAGGAAATGTAATGAACTGTTTCTACAGAGAAAAGTTGGTGGCTGCCACTTTACTCTAGTGGTGAAGGGCACAGGACTTGGGAGTAAACTCACATAGACTGAATCCACTATATATGTGACCTTGGGTGAGCTACCTCATAGGGGGCTGTTTCCTATCACACAATAGATTCCTCATGGTGTTATTTAAATAACGCATATAAATGCTTTAGCACAGACGTTTGTTTAAACTCAATGAAAGAGGGCTGCTTTCATTTTGAACCTTCTGTTCTTTAAATGTTTTTCTTTACATTCATGTAGATGTACATGCTTGCAGAGGAAAAAAAATAAGAACACAAAATAGGTAGAAAAATGGAAAAACAGTGGCCTCTGTGGAACAATTTGTGGCAGTTGAAAAAGGCTTTCCTAGTCAGGCATATCTCACCAAAGGGGCCCAGGAGCAGT
Source organism: Homo sapiens (assembly GCF_000001405.40). NCBI lineage: Eukaryota > Metazoa > Chordata > Mammalia > Primates > Hominidae > Homo > Homo sapiens. The sequence goes on from NC_000003.12 coordinate 169,739,589, forward strand.
CGAGAAGCTCTAATTAAAAATTCAGTGTATTCCTCAGGCAAACCCCTGTGAACATGCATATATTTTAGAAGGAGATTAACCCATTAACTAGTAATATTTAGCATGGCACATTAAACAAATGCTAGTTTAATAGCTAGTGGCAGAATTCATCTTAGGGAACAGTCTCTGTTTGGTGACAAACAGAATCCTTATGTGCGAGGACTGATGTGGAAAGAAAGAGTCCTTGGGGCACAGCTAGAATAAAGCAGGAATAAGATGAAGAGAGCAAAACTGTTCTGCATACGAAAAGAACAAGGGCCAAGGTGGGTGGATCACCTGAGCTCAAGAGTTCAAGACCAGCCTGGCCAACATGGTGAAACTCCATCTCTACTAAAAATACAAAAATTAGCCGGGTGTGATGGTGGGTGCCTGTAATCCCAGCTACTTGGGAGGCTGAGGCAGGAGAATCGCTTGAACCCTGGAGGCGGAGGTTGCAGTGAGCTGAGCTCACACCACTGCACTCCAGCCTGGGTGACAGAGTGAGACTCCCTCTCAAAAAAGAAAAGAATAAGGATTTTGGGGCTGGGAGCAGGAGCCAGTCAGGGAAGAAGAGCAGACTTGGAAGCAGAAGAAAGGAGACTCCCAGGCCAGAGAAGATTGCAACTCCCCAGTGGGAGGGATGGCCAACAACTTTTGAGGACAAAAATATCTCAAATTTTATTTTAAGTGGGGTCATGAAGCTGCACAAATATAATAAATAAAATTATTATAAAATAAATAAAATTATTAATTATATTAGTGCAGCTTTATGACCCCAAACCTAGGGTAAGACTCTACACATAGCCCTGAATTGTCTGGACTTTGGGCAGTGAAGGGATTTGGATAATGTCCAGGAAGAAGACACATGCAGAAATGGGCAGAAGATATAAAGAGTGGGCTAATTGCACAGCGGAGGAGACTTCCAGAAACAAAGGTAGAATCCAATGGTCTAAGTCCAGAGTACAAGCTATCCCAAAAGTTCTGGGGTAAGAGTGAAATGTGCAGGGAGGGGAAGGGATGCCTCCTTTCCCACCACATTTAGGAAAAAGGGCTGAGTCCATCTAATTAAATCTCAAAGGATGAAGTGACCCAGCTGCATGTTGGTTCCTCTAGCTCTCTTTCTTCCTAGCTCTCTAACAGCTACGGAAAAGCTAAAAGAAGGACACAGAGGGCCTAGCGCCCAGGGTTGACCAAAGGGATTAGAGGACAAAGCTGGGAGAGATGACACATAAGGGGCATCAAATGGAGGCACCTTAACAGAAGATAGTTATTATGAATAGAGGCCGGGCATGGTGGCTCACACCTGTAATCCCAGCACTTTGGTGGATGGATCACTTCAGGTCAGGAGTTCGAGACCAGCCTGACCAACATGGCAAAACCCCATCTCCATTAAAAATACAAAAATTAGTCCAGCGTGGTGGCACCTCTCCTGAGGCAGGAGAATCGCTTGAACCCAGGAGGCAGAGAGTGCAGTGAGCTGAGATTGTGCCATTACACTCCAGCCTGGGCAACAGAGTGAGTCTCTCTCTCTCTCCCCGTGTGTGTGTGTGTGTATATATATATATATATATATATTAGAGAGGGGCACCTGTGGCTTGAGCAAGCCCTGAAGAGATTACAAATTAACATTTTAAATATTATTCACCTAAATTTAAATTTGGATATATGTTATTTGGGTAAGTGATCAAATACCAGATTGCTTGTGATAAATTACTTAGAGATATTCAATCTGTAACATGACAAATACAATGAAAAAATAACAGGAATTTTTTTAATGAAAATGGCACTTTTTCCTCCCAGCAGTCTGTTTAAAAGAGTTAAAGCCGGGCGCGGTGGCTCACGCCTGTAATCCCAGCACTTTGGGAGGCCAAGGCGGGTGGATCACGAGGTCAGGAGATCGAGACCATCCTGGCTAACACGGTGAAACCCCGTCTCCACTAAAAATACAAAAAAAAAATTCTCCGGGCGTGGTGGCTGGCGCCTGTAGTCCCAGCTACTCCGGAGGCTGAGGCAGGAGAATGGCGTGAGCCCGGGAGGCGGAGCTTGCAGTGAGCGGAGATTGCGCCACTGCACTCCAGCCTGGGCGACAGAGCGAGACTCTGTCTCAAAAAAAAAAAAAAAAAGAGTTAAATTAAGACATGAAATGATCATATTAGCCTTAATTCTTCTCATTTATTAATTGAACACCTTGGAAACATGCAGATAAATGTCCCACCTTGGAGAATTTGAGATAAGTGTGAATAGAAATGAAGAGAAATTACCAAGATTTACCAGTTCACACTCACAACCATCACACTCTGTTTATTCAAAGCTGCCTACAGATGCATGATATCAAATTAAACCTTTAATGTATTCTGATGTCAAGGGAGCTTACAATCATAAGGCCTGTTCTTAGGTTCACACTTGGGTCTTTGTACATAGTAGAGGCCATAAAACCAGGTAAACAGCAAAAGGCTGTTGTGAAACAAGACAAATGAGAGTTCCATGTGTTATCAAGAAATTCAAGCTGTTTCCTGTGATGAAAAATACATAGATATACATATTCATTATATTCCTAAGAATAGTAGTACCATAATGCATTCATTTACAGGCATATTAATATGACAAAAGAAATGATGAAATTTGGTTCTTTGCCTGAAGAAAGACTTGTTATAAATAGGAAAGCTGGCCAGGTGTCCAGTGATCCTAAAAATAGGTAAGCTTCCACTGCGAAAGCCATCACCACACACGAAATAATGAGAGAAACACAAGCTCACTCTATGGAAAACATCCACCAAGAAATAGCCAAAATAATTCCTTTCATTTGACCATAAACCCATCAAAACTTCATGGAATGTGGTTACATTATTTATGCAGTGCCTGCATTCAGTAAACCTTACATGCTGTAGCGTTCTTAAATAATGAGAGAGTTAGACGGACAAACTTTCATGGGATTTGTTCTCTAATAGAAATTCAACTATCAATGTAAATCTTCAGAATCCTGAGGAATTTTCTGCTGAAATAAACAGCCACCAACACAAAATGACCTAGAAATAGCTTATAGCTCATTCCTCCTTGACTCCTCAAAACTTTTTTTTTTTTTTTTTGAGACGGAGTCTCGCTCTGTTACCCAGGCTGGAGTGCAGTGGCACAATCTTGGGTCCCTGCAACCTCCGCCTCCCAGGTTCCAGCAATTCTTCTGCCTCAGCCACCCGAGGAGCTGGGATTATAAGCACGCACCACCACGCCTGGCTAATTTTTGTATTCTTAGCAGAGACAGGTTTCGCCATGTTGGCCAGGCTGGTCTTGAACTCCTGACCTCAGATGATCCACCCACCTCGGCCTCCCAAAGTGCTGGGATTACAGGTGTGAGCCATCGCGCCTGGCCAAAATATTTATTTTTAAAAATCTAACTAATTCAGTGTGCAAGAAGGAGTGTTATAAAAGAAAAAAAAATCTAACTACTTAAAGTGAATCACTTTTATCCTTTAAAAAAAAGAAATTTGTCCGGGTGTAGTGGCTCTCACCTGTAATCCCAGCACTTTAGGAGGCTGAGGCAGATGGATCATCCGAGGCCAGGAGTTTGAGACCAGCCTAGCCAACATGGTGAAACTCCGTCTCTACTAAAAATACAAAACTTAGCCGGGTGTGGTGGCACATACCTGTAATCCCAGCTACTCAGGAGGCTGAGACAGGAGAATCATTTAAACCTGGGAGGCAAAGGTGGCAGTGAGCTGAGATCACGCCACTGCACTCCAGCCTGGGCAACGGAGTGAGACACTGTCTAAAAAGAAAAAAATAAATAAAAAATAAAAATAAAAAAGAAATTCAAAAGGATTATAAAAGGATTATAGTCAGATTCTGAGAGGCTGGTCCTCAACTATAGGAACAAGGAAACAGTCATTTTTTAATGAAAAGTAGCCCAATACTAATGTGTGTCTGAAGTCTTAATCAGCATGATGTCATGGAAACTAAACCTATTTGATACCAGCAGATGTGACCCACTTTTTCTTTTTCATTGCATTTTGTTTCCGGTTTAATGTTCGGGAATGCAGTGGTAGACTCTTGTCCTACCTCCTAGCAGTTTTGTCTGCAAAGAGCTGTTTTCCCATCCACAGTCTTCCAAAGAGCAAACTGTCAATGGAATGATTTTGACGAATAAATGACTTGTTTTGCAATACAAAAGCAAAAGTTACAGCCGATAAACAATCAACTTAGTAACAAATGTTACATATTAAAGGTATATGTCAATGAAGGATAACACTCATTATGGAAAAATAAAAGCTAGAGAGTTACAGGAGATATGCCAATGTTCTCTCATCATACTGCACAATATTATAATAATTAGGCGTTCAAAGGAATAGATGATATTCCTTTGTACATACTTAAGATGTGGAGGATAAGACTATATATTATCCCTTTTTTAAAAAGCTCATTTATTGTTGTATCACAAAAGTAAAGCTGTTTAACCTGTAGAGCAGCTATTTTGTTTAGGTCTTCACCTGTAATTTTTGAAATTTTTGAAACTGTGGTGCCATTACTTACCAACGCGAGAAATGCACTTTATAAAGTGTAACTGCTCGGGTTGAGGGGACCAACAAGAGGATCAGATCTAAGAGAAACCTCTCCCAAAGACTAGTCTTCACCCCTCCCCCACTACTCCTTTGAGAAGGAAAGAGTAAATGTTAGCCTTGGGTACAAAATTGGCATTGTTTTATTTATTTCTTGCTTTATTTCTTGATATAAAAAATGTGAAAAGCTTACAAATTTCTAGGCAAAAAGCACACTTCAGGATTTTTTTAAATGTAAGCAAAAAACCTCTATGGGTATATAACAAGATCTGAGCATAAACTTTAACAGAACAAACTAAAACCTGCTAGCTTATCCTCTCTTGCTCCTGCCACAGACCATCTACCCACAGGTTCTCTTTGTTCACTGCATTCAGCAGCCTTCTCTGGAGCTGCTCTCCTTGTCTACCCTGGAGTGAAAGAAGGCATAGTTTTCATAGTACAAAAGTACTCACATACTTTTGTACTCCTTCAACCAACATTTAAAAAGTAATATTGTACAAACTTGCAAACTGTTTCTGTCTTCAATTTACAATTTTAAATAGGCTGATTTCACTTTACAGAGTGGGAGAAAAAAAAATCTAAGTCTGCAGTTATTCATGTGAGTGGGCTTTTTGCTACAGGTGAACAGATATTGCCATCTACTGTTGAGAAAAAATAAAAGAGTTAAGCCAAAAGTTTTCAGCCTTCTTGAGGTCTTGACAGATCATAAATTTAAAATGGAAAAAAAAATGACTTTATGAAAGTAGTCAGTTTCTTTTTACTTATACAGCTATTTAGCATTTGTAATTTGAGAACTAAAGAGAAGAAAAAGCATAATAAACCAGAAAACTTTCTTCTCTAAAATCAGAAAAATTGCTGTGAGTAATTATTCTTAGTTTCGATTAAAGTTGAAAGCAAATCATGTTTTACTGAGTTCCATTTGGCCCACAATATTAGCTGCTGCAATCGAGAAGAAATATAAGTAATGTCTCTTTTTAATTACCTTAACTTCATTTCAAAATTTACCTTATGAATAGGTTAATGTGTTTTATCATAAAAATCACTGGAAACACTCATGGCAAAGTCAGTTTTTTTTTGTTTTGTTTTGTTTTTTTTTTTTTGAGACGGAGTCTCGCTGTCGCCCAGGTGGGACTGCGGACTGCAGTGGCGCAATCTCGGCTCACTGCAAGCTCCGCTTCCCGGGTTCACGCCATTCTCCTGCCTCAGCCTCCCGAGTAGCTGGGACTACAGGCGCCCGCCACCGCGCCCGGATAATTTTTTTTGTATTTTTAGTAGAGACGGGGTTTCACCTTGTTAGCCAGGATGGTCTCGATCTCCTGACCTCATGATCCACCCGCCTCGGCCTCCCAAAGTGCTGGGATTACAGGCGTGAGCCACCGCGCCCGGCCCAAAGTCAGTTTTTAACTTTACATTTAGCTATTAATATTCTTTTGAAAAATAGAGTAGCTACCACTTAGCCTTCTTTAGGCCTCTAGTAGTACATACTTAAGCTCAAATTTACAGAAAGCCCCTTTAGGGCAAAATGCTACCATAAAAGCAATGCATCTGAGTCAGAGAACCCAGCCATGTTCAACTTCTCCCACAACCTCTCCCACTAGGAAAGGGAGACAGAGCTCTGAGCCTCAGATCAATCAATGTGAGGAATGACCTGTCTTTATTCTGGTGGCTGGTGTTGAGCTGGAGGAAATGATTTGGTGGCCGAAATTCAGTTGTTTTTGCACATAAAAAAGTATTTTCCCCTCTAAAAAATATTTATTTAACTCTGTCAACCACCACACCAAGCACCACACCACGTCCTGTAACAGCTATCTTGTATTCGAATGACGCGAATGTGAAGCGTAATGTGTGGATTGTGAGGAACAAGCCCCCACCATGAATGTCTGCGAAGAAAAGGGAAAAAGACCTTTAATCTTTGCAGTGTATTAGGCCAAGTATGAAAGCTGACTACACACTATGCACTATGGAGGATGTGTCTGTGTGTATATCTGTGTGTGTGTCAAGGGGCTGATGTTTTTAAAATTGGTAACTGATTTTGCTATATTGACAGCTCCGGTTCCAACCATTATGATTTATTCTGCTGGCTTCATTAAGATATTGTCATCATAACTAAGGCTGGTATAGCATTTACTGTTCATAAAATGCTCTCATGCATGTCAAAATTTGCTCGTTTAACATATGTGTACTAAATACCAACCCTGTGCGAGGTTCTCGCAAGCTTCAGGAATACAAAGCTAAAAGACAAGGTATCCCATCTTTCAAAAAGCTTCACAGTCTGGGGAGGTGAAAGGGAAGCAAACCTCACAGCTGGATTTTAAAACAATGTTAGATGTCCCATGATAGAAGAATGAAGGGGCGCTAAGTAAAATGAAACACAGTAGCTCTGTTTCTGCTTGGAGGGACACAGCCAGGATCCAGGAAGGTGTAAGTAATCGAAAACTAAATAGCACATGATCTAGCAGAGAAGGGACATTTTCTGAAAACCACAGATCATTATGGGATACCACAGGCTCACTGAGTATCAGCAGGTGAGTCTGGTGAGGAAGTGTCAGGCAGAGGTGTCCTGGGCATATATGCCTAGTGTCACATAGGGAAGGTAAAAAATAAAGGTGATAAAAGGAAAGCTTACAAGCAGAGAAGGAGCAGAGTGTCCGCAATCCCCTGAACTCTCATTATCCCACAGTTTCGGCCCTGTGTAGATGGGCCACATGTCCATGGCTAACAGTGCAGTAGAAAGGGACCCTGCCCTACAATCCTGTAGGGAACAGGGAACATCTATGCACTTGGATGTCCCGTGGTCACAGAAGTAGCTTGATAGAAAGGGAGGGTCGGGTCTCTGCAGCCCAGAAACTGGCATCCACCTGTTCTAGTGGGCTAACTCTAACTTGCTGAGCCAACTTTCTACTCATCTACCAAAAACGGGAACATGAGCCTCCAGTACATCCAGATCTATTGCTTATAAGAGGAATGCAGAACAGGAACTGAATGAAGTCTCTTGTCCGCCGCAGCAAGGAGGTGATTCGAAACCACAGGTGTCAAGGAACAACCAACTGTTCTTGGGCAGAGAAGTAATAGGATATGATTTCTATTTTAAAGAGGTCACCAGCATTGTACAAGATAGGTGAAAGATAGGAGACCAGCAGGGAGCTATTGCAGAAGGTCAGACTAGGGGGTCTGACCCAGAGCAAAGAAGGTGGGGAGGGGCAGTCAGACTGGAGAGATGCCACACAGGGATGAAATGGACAGGACTTCAAGACTGCTTAGATGATGGGGATAGGGGTAAAAGAAGGAAAGAACAGAGTCTCATATTACCTGGTGTCTGACGGAGTGACAAGATGGACTGGGGAAGACAGAGTAAGGAGGGAGAGAAAAGTCAATAAGGCTACTTTTTTCAACTTATTATTTTGAAATAACTATAGATTCATAGGAAGTTGGAAACATAGTACAGAGAAGTTCCATGTACCCTTCACTTCATCTCCCCTAAAGGGGACATCTTACATAATTATAGCACAATATCAAAAGGAGACAATTGACACTGGTACAACACATGTGTAGTTGTCATTTGATCACACCAGTCAATTTACGTAACCACGAATTCAATTAAGATAAAAAACTATTTCATCACCACGAACATCTCCCTCATGCTACCCCTTCACAGTTACAGCCCCCTTCCCTCCACCACCCCTATTCCCTGGCAGCCACTAAGCTATTCTCCATCTCTACAATGTTGTTATCTTGAAGATGTCATGTAAATTGAATCATCCAGTATGTGACCTTGTGTGATTGGTTTGTTTCACCTAGCATAATGCTGGAAGTGCACCCAAGCTGTTGCATGTATCAATAGTTTGTTTTTTTATTGCTCAGTGATATTCCATGGTATGGATGTACCACAGTTTGTTTAATCAGTCACCCACTGAAGAACTTTTTTTTTCTTTTTTTCTAGTTTGGGGCTATTAAAAATAAAACTGCTATGAACAATTGTGTAAAGGTTTTTGTATGAACATAAGTTTTCATTTCTCTGGGATAGATGTCTAGGAGTATGATTGGTGGGATACATTGTAAATGTATGTTTAGTTTTTCCAGAAATTGAATAAGGCCAATCTTTCAAGTTAAGTATTATTTTATCCCCATTTTGAAAGTAAGACATGGGAATTATGGTGATTAGCAGTCCAGACTTTGGTGACAAGTAGACTTAGGGTTGAATCTGGCATTGCCATAATCAACTATGGGATTTGGCAAATTAATTAACCCTGATATAGTTCTATGTCATTTTATCCCACATGTAGATCTTTATAACCTTTCAATGACTTCAGAATAGCACCAGAATAATTTCCTGCTTTATTATACACAGAACCAGTAGGATTCCTAGGTATGAAATGCACAATTATGCCAGTTATCGAATAAGGAAAAGGGAAGCTGGGCTGGATAGAACTGAGAATGCAGGAGAAAATTGAACAGTTTTTACTTAGGTTAAGATGATCAGGGGGTGTATTGGAGACTGTGATGGGATAAGAGAATAGGAAGTGGCTAAGGTTTGTAACTGGGCAACTGAGAGTGGATCTAGAATAAGCCAGTCTCAAGGCTCATACAGAAAAAAATATATGACGTGATATATGATTTGATGAAAGACTCTTCAGTTCAGCAAGATTCTGGTTACTGGTAGTTTCTAAGTTACATGTGTTGTGAGGGATTCAGAGATGAAAGCAAAGGGAAGGATGAAACGTGTATGATCAAGTCAGCAAACATTATGACTCATCCTCTGTAGGTGGTTTAAGGCGAAGTTAAAAAATAAAGGTGTATCACATTGAGGTGGGGTTGACAATGGGATAAGACCATTTACAACAAGCCAGCTCCAGGTAGGAGTCTAGACAAATAGGAAAGGTCAAATAGAAGCAGCAATTTAGACAATATATGGCCGAGTTCAAGAAAACCAACAGAAGCAACAAAGGGCAGAAATATGCCTAAGTTCAGGCAACCAGAGTCAGCTATTGGGAGGTCAGCAGAATTATGGAGCAAGGGCAGTGCATGAATCTGATTTTAGAAAAACAGACTTTTTGCTTATCTATTTTTTGCTGTCTGCTGCTCCTGTGAAGCCCTGGGCCTTTGAGTATCAGTTCTAGCCAGGAAGAGCTCAAAGACCTGCTATAGTAGACTATCTTTGATGAGAATAAAAGATTGAGATTACCTTACATAAGATTAGTAGAGGCTAATGTATTGGTTAGGATGCTTTTGACTGCAATAACAGTAACACAACTGAAAGCCTCACATGATAAAGAAATATGTAATGTGGCAAGTGAGGTGGCTCACACCTGTAATCCCAGCACTTTGGGAGGCTGAGGCTGAAGGATTGTTTAAGCCCAGGAGTTCAAGAGCAGCCTAGGCAACATAGCGAGAACCTGTCTCTACTAATAAAAAATACTGCCACGTGGTGGCATGCATCTGTAGTCCCAGCTACCAGGGAGGCAGAGGCGAAAAGATCTTATGACCCCAGGAGTTTGATGCTGCAAGTGAGTCGTAATTGCACCACTTCACTCCAGCCTGGGCAAGAGTAAGATCCTGTCTCAAACAAACAAAAAGAAATTTATAGGCTGGGCGCAGTGGCTCATGTCTGTAATCCTAGCACTCTGGTAGACTGAGGCGGGCAGATTGCCTGAGCTCGGGACTTTGAGACCAGCCTGGGCAACATGGCAAAAGCTCATCTCTACTAAAAATACAAAAAATTAGCCAGGTGTGGTGGTGCATGCCTGTAGTTCCAGCTACTCGGGGGGCCGAGACGGGAGAATCGCCTGAACCCAGGAGGTGGAGGTTGTAGTGAGCCGAGATCACAGCACTGCACTCCACCCTGGGCAACAGAATGAGACTCTGCCCCCCAAAAAAAAAAAAATTATAATATGACACAATAAAGTCTAAGGACAGGGAATTCCAGAGCAAGTCAAAATAGCGGCAGAACAATAGCAGCAGAGCAAGTCAAGGACACCACCCATTCCATCTCCCTCTGCCTGCCATCCTCATACTTACCCCTTATGGCCACAGTATATTCTCAGGATAAATCTAAAACATTTCTTTTGGGGGTTTAAAATCAGAAAATTTAAAAATTAATCCTGGTTAGTTAAGTGTTTTGGTTAGTTGAATTCTAACTGACTGAAATTCTTCTTTAGGTCTTTTTGTTGTTGTTGTTGTTGTTGTTTTTCTTTTTTTGTTGATGGTGTTGTTGTTGTTGTTTTTGAGACAGAGTCTTGCTCTGTTGCCTAGGCTGAAGTGCAGTGGTGCAATCTCCATTGCAACCTGCCTTCCGGGTTCAAGCAATTCTCATGCCTCAGCCTCCTGAGTAGCTGGGATTACACGCATGTGCCACCATGCCTGGCTAATTTTTGTATTTTTAGTAGAGACAGGGTTTCACCATGTTGGTCATGTTGGTCTCGAACTCCTGACCTCAGGTGATCCACCTGCCTTGGCCTCCAAAAGTGCTGAAATCACAGGCATGAGCCACCACGCCCAGCCTAGATCCTTCTTTGTATTTCATATTTTGTCCAAGATTTCACTCTAACATCAGGATCAGATCACTGTCATGGTTTTAGATGAATTTCCTTTATTCCCATTCTCAGAACATGAATAGATGACTCTAAATATTTCTTTTAAGGAAGTAAGTGGTACACCTTAAATTTGCATAGCAGTACACTTTCACATGGTTTGCCTAATCTAATCTTTACAAATATTTGTGAGTTAGAGAGAGCAGATATTAATAGCCTCATTTTAGAGACGAGGAAATAAAGGCTGAAGTTTAAGTGAATTGCCCAAGGTCACTGAGAAACTACACGGCATAACTGAGATTTAAGCCCAGATATTCTATCTTTCAATTCAGTGCACTTTCTACTTGTGGGGACAATAAATCAGATTTCTCTGGGCCAGTGCAAATTTCGCATATCAAGTCACAGTCTCCCCATTACTGCACTCATATTTGTTGAAACAAGTGTTGTTTTTTTGTTTTGTTTGTTTGTTTGTTTTTGTTTTTGTTTGAGATGGAGTCTCGCTCTGTCACCCAGGCTGCAGTACAATGGTGTGATCTCGGCTCACTGTAACCTCCACCTCCCGGGTTCAAGTGATTCTCCTGCCTCAGCCTCCCTACCAGCTGGGATTACAGGCACCTGCCACCAAGCCCAGGTAATTTTTGTATTTTTAGTAGAGATGGGATTTCACCATGTTGGCCAGGCTGGTCTCGAACTCCTGACCTCAGATGATACACCTGCCTCGGCCTCCCAAAGTGCTGGGATTACAGGCGTGAGCCAACATGCCCGACCAAGAGTTGGTTTTTAAATTAGAAAACACAGCATTATAACTAAAACTATGGGAGGGCTTCCAAAGGAGGAATCAGGTCAGATACTCAAGCTAAAACTCTAATTTCAGTGCAGTGGAAGAATGGCTGTGTCTTATCCCTTCCCACTCTACAACTAAAGAGTGAAAAAGAGAGAAGTTTGATAAATAAAATGGATCAGGAAGGTTGCAAGGACAGAGGTAACATTGCTTAAGGGACTGTGTCACAGATCTTGCTTACCCTCAATTTATCCTATATAAAATTCAGTAATAGTAGCTATAATACAGTGTTTTGTACTAATAAAATAAGACAATCACCTTAAAACAATCAATAAAGGTAGTTTGAGTGTTAGAAGAATAAAGAAACCCTTGCACATGACCCAGGCTCTAACTTCAGAGAAAAAAGAAGCCATAAGATATGAACCCCCTTAACTCCCTACCATGAAATCTTTAAACTGACCTGTATCTGATGGCCCATTTCCTTCCCTTTTGCTCTTTTCTTTTCTATGGAAAATCCCTCTTCTGCTGTACTGCCTTCCTAGAAACCTTTCTCCAGTTCCAGTCATCAACCTTTTTTGTTCTTCAGATCCCTTCCTATCAGCACATAAACATGGTTATTCAAAGCATTACTCAACTCATTACCCTGTCAGCTAACTCTCCTATTTCTCTCCTCTCCTTCATAAACTAAAGAACTATCTGTATCTACCATCTCTCCGTTAATTCCTACACCTCAATTCTCAATCTACTGCGTTCTGGCTTTCTGCCTCCCCAGTCCACCAAAACTACTCTTACCAATAGACAGGATGACTATATAATGTATTGTCCAAACTGGAATTTTTGAAAATACTATTTAAGTCCTTCTCCCCTGCCCATTGTGCTATGGCGTAAAACCCTGTTCATTTCCTTCACACTCTGGAATTATATATTTACTAGTTTACTTCGCACTGTCTGTCTTCTAGTTTACTGCCAAACTTCGGGGATATTGAAGTTTAGTTGCCCTGGTGCCTGGCATTCCCAGCACCTGGCATAATGTTGGCACTTAGCAGGAGCTCAGTAATTCTTTTTTTTTTTTACACGCAATACTTTTATTTTAGACATGCAAGGAAAGCTGTTTCAGAATCTACTAATTTAAAGCAAGCAGCTGTATATAGATAGCAAAAGAAGCAACATTTTGTTACAGCTTAGCAAGAACTTTTTAGAGAGCTATGTCTGAAGTCTGTTCTGCAATATCTGTTGCTTAATAATAACTCTTTCAAAGCATTAATGTTGAGTTTATATAGTTCAAAAATTCTAATATTCAGTTTTAACACCTAAATACTTATATTTTACTAGTGATGGCATTCTAATGTATTAAGTCCTCATTTAAATAATTAATACTTTGTTAACTGTGGCATTATATTTCTGAATTTTAAAACCTTTAATATTGGTAACTATTGCATATTCTTTTAATAAAACAGTAATTCTTTATTGGATGAATGGATACATGAATAAGCAGATGAAAAAATAAACAAATACCATGCAGAATACTTTTGGAAAATAGTGGCATAAATACTACAAAATTGAGAATACTATAGCTGGATCTTTGTCCTCTATTTAAAAAATCAGCAACAGAATCTCTGAGATGAAGGTTGAACAACCAAAAAAGGTCAGAGTTAACACCAGGAAAAAGGTAAGAACGAGTGGAGAAAAGTCGAGAGAACTGGTGAATTCAAACCATTTCCTCCATTCTTCTCCTTTGATACTTGCTATCTGTATAACCCTGTTTTAATTCCATATCTTGCACCAGAGAAAATTACACTAATGAACAGGTAAAACAATCTTTCTTTCTTTCTTTTCTTTTTTTTTTTTTTTTTTCAGATGGAGTTGCCCAGGCTGGAGTGCAATGGCGCAATCTCGGCTCACTGCAACCTCCACCTCCTGGATTCAAGTGATTCTCCTGCCTCAGCCTCCTGAGTAGCTGAGATTACAAGCTTGTGCCACCATGCCCAGCCAATTTTGTGTGTGTGTGTTTTTTTGGTTTTTGTTTTTTTTGTTTTTTTTTTGTATTTTTAGTAGAGACGGGGTTTCACCATGTTGGTCAGGCTGGTCTTGAACTCCTGACCTCAGGTGATCCACCTGCCTCAGTCTCCCAAAGTGCTGGGATTACAGGCATGAGCCACTGAGCCCAGCCCAATCTTTCTGGTTAAGGAACACCATTCTGTCTGATAGAGAGAGGAGACCTTTGAATGTGGAAGTCAAACACTCAGAAGGATTATCAACAGCAGTGCTATTTTTGCTATAGTCAGGTTGTTGCAATGAATACCAAAGAAAGATTTATTCCATAACAGGAATGACACTTTGGACAGCTATCAAATAACATTTACTTAATTATCTTTTTAACAGTCACTTTTTAAAGATTAACTTTAAGACAAATATTTAACTAGATAGATATTCTCCTATCAGTTATACATCAATCACATGAATCTGTCTGTAATAAACAAGCAACCAAATAAGGTGAGAGCTTCTACTGAGAAAAGGAAAAGTGGGAGTGGAAGATGGAGAAAGGTGAGAGAACTGTGAGTTTTTATTATTGTATATCTCATTATTGAAAAGCTACACATTGGACACATACACAAAAAAGAAAAAGTCTTTCACCTCTGAGAATAAATATTCCGAGCACGCTCTGTGTCCCAATTTCCTTTTTTTTTTTGAGACAAAGTCTCTCTCTGTTGCCCAGGCCAGAGTGCAGTGTGGTGTAATTGCCTCACTGCAACCCCCACCTCCTGGGTTCAAGCGATTCTCCTGCCTCAGCCTCCCAAGCAGCTGGGACTACATGCATGTGCCACCATGCCTGGCTAATTTTTTTGTATTTTTAGTAGAAACAGGGTTTCACCATGTTGGCCAGGCTGGTCTCGAACTCCTGACCTCAAGTAATCTACCCACCTCGGCCTCCCAAAGTGCTAGGATTATAGGCGTGAGCCACTGCGCCTGGCCCCCAGCTTCCTAGTTTTGGGGCCTACATCCCCGAATAGCACAGGGCTGTAAACAAGATTTGTTCTGCCCCAGAATGACAGCCCCTGTGCCTTTCCTATTTAATATTACAAATAATCACAAACCATGTCCATGGTATTTGGTAGTTGCAAAGGGTCTCAAATAGGAGAAAATTTACTTGCAAATATAGCCTCTGAAAGCTGCATGTCCTGTCTTTACAATGCCATCTGTCATTGTATCCAGGGAAGAGGGGTACAAATTGGGAGAAGAGCTGGTCCCAGAAGTCTCTGAGGCATGCCTCCTGTGTTGTAGAGAACATTTCCTTCTAGGACAGAAACCACGCTAACCTCTCTTCTAGGACAGTGCCACAATACAATTATTTGGTAAGATAGCAATCATATAGCAGTCATGCCAATTTTCCTGCATCAGTTAAGGTACTTTTGAGTGAAGCAACAAAACCCCTGACGCTAACTGGCTAAAACAATCAAGGTGATTCATCAGCTCATGTATTTGAAAAGTCGAAAGGCAGGGCAAGCTCACACATTTTGGAAAGTCCAAAGGCAGAGCTCCACCTCTCTTTCTCTGTGTTTCCCTGGGCTTTGCCCTTCTTTGTGAGTTGACTCTGTCCTCAAACTGGCCTCCCTCTTAGTTGCAAGTGACTGATAGGAGCAACACTAGTTACTAACGTCTTCATTCCCATTAAAGGGGAGAAAACTCTTACTTCACTCAGCCATTAAACTGAAGTTCAGCACTTTGTTCTGATGAAGCCATCCCAGAACCAATCATGATGGCAAGAGAGGGGATTAGAACCATCCTTGGATACAGGCAAGAGTCAATCCATCCTACCTATGATGCATGGCTGCAACTGAATGCAGGAGGAGGGTGTGATGCAGGAGAGGCACCACTATGTATGTATTCAGCCTCTGCATTGATACCCTTGACCCCCGTGACTTAATACTACACACACACACACACAACTCTGAGAAACAGATTCTGTGTTTTTAGCCATTATCTCTCTCCCTGCCATCTTTACCTCCTGCTTTATCAAAACTTTTGGCAGGGAAAGCAAGGCAGGAAAGAAGATGAGGAAAGATAAGACAGAGAAGATATAATGTGTCCTTTATTTTAGTAGTAGAAGGACTCTGGAAACGATTGAATGATTCAATCTGCATAGCTACTCAAGGTTTGCAGCTGTGGCCAGATCTAGTCCTGTTGACAACCAGATATACATAGTGATCAAGATAAATTCTATTTTGGGAAATTCCAGAAGAGAAAGTAACATAGGTAGATTACCCAGAGGTTCTATACAAGTCTGGACAATTCTCCTTCAAACAAAATACTACCCTTTGGGTTAGTGATGCACCCTTAGTAATTAAGTAAAGGAACAATCTAAAAACATAAAAAAATTTGTGCATAGTTATTCACGATAGCAGTAAAAAAATTGAAAACAAGTTAAATATTCATCTGTAGGTGAAGTGTTACATAGATTATGATACATCCATTAAATGGAACATTAGGCAACAATATTAAATAATGGTTCTGAAGGCTCTGTAATAACATGGAATAATATTTATAATTTATTACTAAATAAAAAAGCAGAATTTGACATATAATTGTCTAAAATATATATATCAGGTATAAAAAGAGACAGGTATAAAATATATACATCAGGTACAAAGAGAGACTGGAAAGAAATGTACCAAATAATGACCTAAATTTTAATTTTGTAACTGAAAAACATTAGAAAGCACTATTAATTACAGATATCTACTTAGCATTTGCCTCTGTGCTGGTGAAATCATAGTTACAATTAGCTGGTCTGTTCTCTGCCCCAACAGCACTCCATCATGCATTCAACAAACAATTATTGAGCACCTGTTATGTACTAGGCACCTGGGATCTGTCAATGAACTCAATGACTTGGGTTCTGCCCCTATCCTTATAACCCAGTGAAGAACACAGATAAGCAAATAATTTATTGCAAATTAGGAAAACATGTTATAAAGGTAATCAACAGAAGATCATAAGAGGAGGGGTAACCTGCTTCAAAAGGGGGTCAGAGAGGATTCTGAGGAGGTGATATCTAAGTTAAGACTTGAGGAGGAGAGAAGGGGCCAGGAACTACAAGTGCAATTTAAGCAGAGAACCCAGGATGAGAGTTTGGTACAAAGGAGGCTGGTGTGGCTGAAGCACAGTGCAAGAAAAGAAGAGGGTGTATTAGTTTGTTTTCACACTGCTGGTAAAGACATACCCGAGACTGGGAAGAAAAAGGGATTTTATTGGACTTACAGTTCCACCTGGCTGTGGATGACTCAGAATCATGGTGGGAGGCAAAAGTCACTTCTTACATGGCGGCAGCAAGAGAAAATGAGAGAAGAAGCAAAAGTGGAAACCCCTGATAAACCCATCAGATCTCGTGAGACTTATTCACTATCACGAGAATAGCATGGGAAAGACTGGCCCACATGATTCAATTACCTCCCCCTGGGTCTCTCCCAAAACACATAGGAATTCTGGGCGATACAATTCAAGTTGAGATTTGGGTGGGGACACAGAGGGGTAAGCAGGGGGCCAGATTATACAAAGCCTTGATAAGAATTTTGGATTTTATTCCAAGTGCAACATGAAGTCACTAAAGTGTTGTGAAGAGAAAAAACATGGCTCAGTTAGCCTTTTAATAAGATCACTCTAGTTCCGTTGTGAAGAATGAATTGGTAATGGGTGTGAGGCAAGATAAGAAGTAGAAAGACCTGTCAGGTCTTTGTAGAAGATGGTGAACTGGGCTGGGGCAGTGGCTAACACCTGTAATCCCAGCACTTTGGGAGGCCAAGGCAGGTGGATCACCTGAGGTCAGGAGTTCAAGACCAGCCTGGCCAACGTGGTGAAACCCCATCTCTACTAAAAATACAAAAATTGCTGGGCGTTGTGGCACGTGCCTGTAATCCCAGTTCCTTGGGAGGCTGAGGCAGGAGAATCACTTGAACCTGGGAGGTGGAGGTTGCAGTAAGCCAAAATCACACCATTGCACTCCAGCCTGGGCAACAGAACAAGACTCTCTCTCCAAAAAAAAAAAAAAAAAAAAAAAAAGATAGTGAACTAGATTAAGGTAGTAGAAATGAAGCCAAAGTGGGAGGATCACTTGAGGCCAAGAGTTCAAGACCAGCCTGGGCAATATAGCAAGCTCCTGACTCTCAAAAAAATTATTTTAAAAATTAGGCTGGCGGTGCACATCTGTAGTCCCTCTATTTCTCACCTTTTTTTATGATATTGTCACATTAATTTTGTAACTGAAAAAATTAGAAAGCATTATTAATTAGATTACTTAGCATTTGCCTCTGTGCTAACTCCTGGGCTCAAGTGACCCTCGCACCTCAGCCTCAGGGCTGCAGTGAGCTATGTCACACCACTGCACTCCAGCCTGGGAAACAGAGCAAGACCCAATCTCAAAAAAAAAAAAAATAGACCAGAGGACACGGCAGGGTGCGGGGAAAATGAGACATCAGCAGTGGTGCCCAGAAGACTGGTTTTAGCTCCTGGGTGTAGCAGTAGCATTTACGGGAAGGGGAAAGGGAAGAAAAAATAGATTTGGGGGATAAAATGATGAATTTAGTAAATTTAAATAACATGAGACTGCACCATATAATTTGCTTATAGAATCTCTCTCTCCAGGAAGACCTTTAAAGATGAGGAATATATGTTTCACCTTTGAAGTCTCAACACCCTGAACAATACAACATGTTGCAGACTAGGTATTTAGTGTTTGTTAAATGAACATCACAACTTTGCAAGTGGTTCATTCATTCCAGTATAATAAGATTCCAGTTATTGTGAAAAGCCATTTAAACTGTTTTCCTTACCAAGGAAAAGTTGATAGATGAGTAATTATTCTTTAACTTAAAAAGAGAATGAAAAAGTATGTGATTTTTTTAAAATTATTTTTTGTTTGTTTAGTTTTCTGTAAAGTAAAATAGCAGTTAAAAGCTAAAATGCGTGTATTTACATTCTTAGGCCTGCTACTGACCTTCTTCAAGTGATTTTACCTCCCAACGTTTCAGTTTCTCCATTTGCAGAAGGGAGATAATGGTGGTTGCCTTATCTCACAAGGATGTCATGAAAATAAGTCAGATAAATTGCTTTGCCCTCCTTGGAGAGGGGCTCTAGAAAGTAAGCATTATTAGATATGATGATGAATACCCACAACTTCAAAGATATTTTTAAATTGCCCCCCCTCCGCCCCCAAGTCTTTGAACATGTTAAGCCTATGAATAGCACTGGGGTAGGTGTTTATATATTTCTGGCAAGCTTTCACCTCTTGTTAAAGCAGTAAATGGTCTTTGAACAAACGTATTTCTCATTCTTTGATAACTATGCTTCCTTGTTTGTACACTTGAAAGATGATTATAATCTGGCATATGAGGTCAAGTTGAACTCCTTGGTGCCATTACAGTTCAAATGTAGCTTTAATTGAGTTTTTCTTCCAAGGTTGAAAATAAGTCACCCAGTTCACTTTAGCAAACTACTCGCATTTTTTAAAAAGATTGTGGGGAATGTAACTGTTTTTGCAACTGATATGTATAATGTTTTTCATTTTAGTTATAATATCCTCATTGATCATACAAAAAAGTCAGTATTTGTATTTCTTCATTATTGCATTTTTCTGTTTTCCTTAAATTGTTTTTAATAACTATAATTATGCCTTTTAACACTTATATAGACAGCCATAGTACACACATAAATATCACCAAAGTGAAAACCTAGAGCCCCAAGACAAAAAAAAAAAAAAAAATGATAGTCAAACATCATCTAGAGAAAGATTCTAGCTGCAGGTGTGCATCAAGTTCATAATTGGTGTTATTTTAAAAATTCACAAACCATTAGCACTTCCACCCTTCTCCATATATCTCTTAACTATATACCCAAGTCAAAACCACTTCCTGCCAGAGTAACTACAACATACCCATCAGAGCGCTGTAAAATCATTACTTGCAAAGTAAAGAGTAAGACAGACTTCTCCTCTCATTAATAATACCAGTTGCTGTCATATATATTACTCATATATTCTCCCCACAACCACCCTTCAAGGGAAGTCTTAGTACATCCGGTTGACACATGTGGAATGTAAAGTTGGGTGACTTATGCTAGATTCCCTCAGCTAGGTTAGAACAGGGTAAAAGTACAGGACCACAATAATATCCTTATTTCAATGTCTTCCTGTTTCCTTTTTATATCAAGGAAGAAATGAGAATTTGAGGCAACACAAATGAAGACCATATATACTTTGATACCTACCTAGGAGGGGAGATACAAACCAGAGTAAAGGAAAAATATGGGAAAAGTTGCCTCATTTCCACCTAGTGATGGTGGAACCCTTGGAACCCTCTTCACATCCCATAACGACTGACAGAATGGACACTGAAAAACAGGCCCACCCCTCAGGCAGAACCACTGGAAGAAATACCCTAACCCCTATACGTGAAGGATTAGCACTACTATTTTCAGAATATTATTAAAATTTAATTTTGAAACTTCTCTTTAGTGATATTCCCAGAAACCTATAACAGATACCACCAGTGTAAACTCCTCTCAAATACATTTATTTTGGGTAGGCCTCAAACTGGTAGGATGGTCCAAACCCTCACCCTTCTAGAGAAAGCACTCAGGAATGCTTAAATTTGCCTAGGCCAAAGGTCGCAAATTAATAGCCTATAATAGACCAGATTTTATCTCAAAACGTTTTTTTATTGGTGCATTGCAATGACTTCAGCTATCAACAACCTAAGCTAGGAGGTCCCCAGGCCATCCTTACATCTGACAAGCTGCCTACAAATTTAGGGGTTCCCACTACCCCTTCAAGTTTCATAATTCAGTAGAATGACTTAGAGAACTCAGGAAAGTGTTATTTCGGTTTTATTACAGTTTTATCATAGCAAAAGGATGTTTATTATAGTTATTATTATGGTTTTATTATAGCAAAAGGATTCAAATCAAAACCAGCCAAAGGGAGAGACACATAGAGTGAGGTCTGGGAGGGTCCCAGAAAGAAGGTTCCATTGTCCCTCTCCTCATGTCCTCAGGGACACATTTTCCTCCTAGCACACTGAGTACTGCCAACCACGGACGTTCATCCAAGCTTCAGTGTGTCCAGAGTTTTTATTGGGGCTTCATTACAGGCATGATTGGATGAATCACTAGTCATAAGGCTCAGACATGTGGCTCCAAGTCTCTCAAGAGGTCGGGCTAGTATCATGGGGCCCAAAGCCCCAACACTCTAATCACATGGCTGACCAACCCCCAGTCATGAGTCATCTCGTTAGTGTAAACTATTGGGTCTAGTCCAAGAGGCCTACCAAGAAAAGACACTCCCACCATTCTTGGTGAATTCCAAGGGTTTAGAGGCTACTTCCCAGGGTTCAGGAACAAAAGCCATCCAAATTCTTTACCATGCACTTATATAATATTTAAATTTTATTTCAATTTAGCTACCAACATTCTATAATCAGTGGTGTTGACATAAAAATCTGAATTTTTGTCTTCTCTTGCAATACTGACAATTTTAGGCTCAATTTCTGTAAGATTGCTGCCTCCTTAAAAAGGGAAGCTCATTCTCCCTACCATCTCTATAGTCTCCATTTTCTTATTCCCAGTGTGATTCACTTCTTTGTTTCCTTTCTGTCCACTGCAGACATTTAAATTTGCATATCCTGGGCTAATTCTTGGGTATTTTCGCTGTTTTTACTTCCATCACATATTATTACCTTAAAAGAATGAACATGAAGGAATGACAGTTACCTTTTGTCACTTCATTCTCATCTTATTTAAAACCACTCCTCCCTTACACTTTGTATGACGGTGGGTGCATGTGTACACACGCTTGTGCCTGTGCCATCTATTTGTCTCTTAAGTCTCGAGCCAGGCTAACATGGAATTTTTGACTGCAGAACCAGGACAAGCTGAATTAAAACTCAATGTCATCCTCAGAGTCAAAACCCATAACCAACTCCAGACCTTACAAAGGAAGCCCCTCATTCTGAAGGACAAAAGAAAAAGCATGTTTCTCAGTATTTTTAAAGCTAATGCTTCCTTCATACGCATAAAATTCTCACATCCTTCATGTGAAATACAACCTAAGTAACAAAATAAAGAGAACAAGTATCGTCATTTGCAAACTTCATATACCCTTTCTCTCACTATACCCCTTTGAGAATCACTGGTTTAAATAATATAAAAGGCATGAAACAAGCCCTAAGTACCTCAGGAACCATGTGGACATCTGTAGTCTCTCTCAGATACAGCTGTCACATAGACCTTGAAGTACAGTCAACCCTCAATATTCATAGATTCTGTATTTGTGGATTCACCTAGTCACCGAAATTGTTTATAATCTCAAAAGCAATACCTGCAGTGCTTTCATAGTCATTCATGGGCATGTGCAGAGCCCTGAAAAGTTTGATTTCCCCAACACATAGGTTCTCTTTTGCCTTTGTAGTCCAAAAAGGACACTATAAACAAGT
Organism: Homo sapiens; assembly: GCF_000001405.40. Taxonomy (NCBI): domain Eukaryota; kingdom Metazoa; phylum Chordata; class Mammalia; order Primates; family Hominidae; genus Homo; species Homo sapiens. Next base: position 169,761,946 of record NC_000003.12, read on the forward strand.
GTCCTATTTCTGGTCTATTTAATGGCAAGTTTTTCACATTTGTATGCTTTTAGTTGGTGACTGTGCTGTTTAAAATGACCCCCAATCATAGTGCTTAAGTGCTGTCTAGCGTTCCTAAGCACAAGAAAGCTGTGATGTGTCTTACAGAAAAAAAATACTTGTGTTAGCCTTCATTCAGGCTTAAGTGATAGTGTTGTTGAATATGAGTTCAGTGCTAATGAATCAACAACATACTTTAGGATGTCTTTAACAGAAACACACACAAGATTATGTATCGATTCTTTGACAAAAATGTTGTGACCGAATGTTCCCAGGAACCTAATCCCGTAATTCCTCTGGGAGCAATGGTTCAGTATTCACTAATCCAGTGTTCACAGAGGCTTCACAGAATGTAACTACTGCAAATAACTAGAATCAACTGTACTTGTAAAAAAGTGAAACACACACAGCACAAAATCACATCGAAGAGTATTAGGGCGGGAGTGGATGTGGGGTGGAAACCAAGGTTACAACCATTAAGGAGGTTATTTTATTTTAAACCAGAAAGTGACGATGGAGTTAATGCTAACCATCTGCCCCAGGTTAACCAACAAAGACTTAGGGTGCAATACAGTGAACAGAACACTGGACTAGAACTTGGGAAGCCTAGCTTCTGGTCACAACTCTGCAAAAAAATTAACTTAGGCAAGTAAATAACTTAGGCAAGTAACTAAAACCCCTCTCCGCAGCAGTTTCTTCATCTGCTAGAGTCACTCAAATCGGTGGCAGTAAGAAGTCACTTTTGCAATAATTATTATGTACAGAAAGTTTTCACATAAATTATCTCACTGGATGACCTGTATGGTCATCCAGGATGACTGGCCGTCTTTACTCTAGAATTATATAACTTAATCATTTTACCAAAAAGAAACAATATATTTAATGTTTATAATACTAAGAATTGTCCTTTGGACTGTTTGTAATAGACATGTCAGAGGGACGACTTCAAATATGAGCTAGAAAACAACTATGGACTTATTTTTAAATTGAATGTATTAAATCACTGTTTTCTTTTTAAAAATGAAAGAAAAACATTCCCAGTCTGTGGCCATTCTTGCTTCACGGCCCTGCACCACCACAAATGTTGTAAATGTGGAGAAGCAAAAGTACCACTAGATGGAGTAAGAACAAAAGACATGCACTTGTCTGTAGTTCAAGGAGTCCCCGCCCTTGCAAAAGGGATCTTAGTCCCCGCACGGTGGCTCACGCCTGTAATCCCAGCACTTTGGGAGGCAGAAGCGGGCGGATCACCTGAGGTCAGGAGTTCGAGGCCAGCCTGCCCAACTTTACTGAAAATACAAAAAAATCAGCCGGGTATGGTGGTGTGTGCCTGTAAACCCAGCTACTTGGGAGGCTGAGAGAAAATCGCTAGAAACCGAGGAGGCAGAGGTTGCAGTGAGCCAAGATGGGGACACTGCACTCCAGCTCTGGGTGACAGAGTGGGACTCCGTCTCAAAAGAAAGAGAAGAAAAAGCGATCTTAGATCACCTTGAGTAAACTGAGGCTTACTGAAGCTGAGCTACTTCCTCAAGACTCTAGACAAGTTCTTGGCAAAATCATTCCTTACTTTTCCACAAAACCATGCTGATAGGAAAAATATTTTTCCTTATTTAGAGAACATTACCAGCAACAGTGGACTCTAGAGGTTTTTTTACATTTCTTAATTCTAATAGTGCTAAGAAATGTATCTGCTAGACAATTCCAGGGGACCTACTTAGGTAATAGGTTAAAAAGCTACAAATATACATGTTCATAAATTTACTGACATGGTCTTGACTTCTGACTTTCAATCATCAGGATTCAGGCTATCACCCTAAAGGTGGGCCTTTATATACACACCCCTGGCTGCTCTCTCTCTTGGCAACTACCCCCAGATGATCCTAAGGAATTGAAGGTATGGATTTGGGACGGAATTACCTTGTCGTGATAAGTGGGCAGAATGGCCTGTTTGTTTCTTTCAACCTAGTGGGCCATTAGCTTATTTTCTTAAAGGAAATCAGAGCCAATTCTTGTGGGAGACTGCCGGCTGGGAGGGTTGGGGGTGGGGGGTGTGGAATAAATTTCTTTTCCGTCTTTCATTATGCCTAGTGTTCCGTTATTGGAACGCTAAGCTTGTGGGGGTTATATCCTACTGCTCAAGGTCATCGCCAAGGTCTAATTTTTCAAAAAAGAAACTTCTAACCTCTGGCATAAACCGATGACCATTAAAGGAACACAATTTCCAATGTTCATTTAGATCTTCTAATTAAATATTCATTAAATGTTAAATGATCTCTCAAAAAAAAATGACTGTTCTCCCACACCCCGTTGAGGGGACTGGTCGAGATCTACCTTGGGAGAAGCAAAAACCTCAACAAAATCTGCAGAGCAGGAACTAAGTTGTAATACAACCATAAAAGGCAACAAAAAGCGGAAGACGGGAGAACCCACGCAGGAACGGCTCCAGGCAACCCCGGCTCACTGCCCATTCATTTTGGCCGACTTTGGAGGTGCCTTCACGTCTCCTGCCAATTTGCAGCACACTGGCCCAGTCAGTCAGGTTTGGGGGTTCACAAGCCCCCATTGCCGGCGAGGGGTGACGGATGCGCACGATCGGCGTTCCCCCCACCAACAGGAAAGCGAACTGCATGTGTGAGCCGAGTCCTGGGTGCACGTCCCACAGCTCAGGGAATCGCGCCGCGCGCGGGGACTCGCTCCGTTCCTCTTCCTGCGGCCTGAAAGGCCTGAACCTCGCCCTCGCCCCCGAGAGACCCGCGGCTGACAGAGCCCAACTCTTCGCGGTGGCAGTGGGTGCCTCCGGAGAAGCCCCGGGCCGACCGCGGCCTCCAGGCGGGGTTCGGGGGCTGGGCAGGCGACCCGCCGCAGGTCCCCGGGAGGGGCGAACGGGCCAGCAGCTGACATTTTTTGTTTGCTCTAGAATGAACGGTGGAAGGCGGCAGGCCGAGGCTTTTCCGCCCGCTGAAAGTCAGCGAGAAAAACAGCGCGCGGGGAGCAAAAGCACGGCGCCTACGCCCTTCTCAGTTAGGGTTAGACAAAAAATGGCCACCACCCCTCCCAGGCCCACCCTCCGCAACCCGGTGCGCTGCCGGGCGAGTCGGCTTATAAAGGGAGCGGCCGCCGACCGCACGGATTGGCCAAGCTGACTCTCGCGGCTCTCGTGAGAGTCACTCTCTCGGGCGGGCTGGTTGGGGGGAACGGGAAATTAAAGTTCCATTTCCGGCCATGAGGAAGGACGTTGCCCTTCCGCACGTCCGGGAAAGGCTTTGCGTCTTTACTTCCGACCTTCTTTAAAGGTGAAACTAACTTGAGGTATCAGAGGGCCTTTTTTCTATCCTCTGCAGACCAGACGCGGTTCACCTCGACTACCTTAAAAATGGAATTCACAGGAAGATTTTAGGGCCTAAGACACAGAACACTAATTCCTAGTTTTGATCATCACATTTTTTGGAGAACTTTGTGAAAATAGATTCCCAGGCAGCACTGACTACAGCAGAATCTTGTCTCGGCTCAGTGGGATGCGTCCGAGTTCCTACCCTGCCCCCTTCTCCTTAGAATGCCTTCTCCAGCCTCTCCTTGAGCAGAGGATGGCTTTAATCAAGTGTAACTACTACATTATTAATCTTAAGGACTGAATCTCCCTTTTATTAGGAAAGAAAGGCGTTTCAATCATTGACTTTGCTTTAAAGTAGTGCTGTGTCTTGATGAGGTAAAAAGAGGGGAGTAATCCACCATAAATTGTAACGATTTTTTTTTTTGAGACGGAGTCTTGCTCTTTCGCCCAGGCTGGATGGAGTCTAGTGGCGTGATCTCGGCTCACTGCAACCTCTGCCTCCCGGGTTCAAGCGATTCTCGTGTCTCAGCCTCCTGAGTAGCTGGGATTACAGGCGCCTGCCACCACGCCCAGCTAGTTTTTGTGTTTTTAGTAGAGACGGGGGTTTCACCATGTTGCCCAGGCTGGTCTCGAACGCCAGGGCTCAAGTGATCCACCCGCTTCGGCCTCCCAAAGTGCTGGGATTACAGGTATGAGCCACCGCACCCGGCCGCGAATTTTTATAATGGCCAGTATAGTGCAGTTTTACATATAAATGACAGGATGATCTTAAAAGTTTTACTCGTATTCAGTTAGATAAACTCCGTGGAGTTGTCGCTGTCGGTCCTCGATCTGAAAGAAAAGTAAAATATCTCCCTCTCCATCT